>NT_167249.2:2461895-2654892 GCF_000001405.40 Homo sapiens
CTGGCCAATCGGGAACGGCACGGGGGCGGGCTCGCTCGGCGCGAAGTTCGGGCCCGGGAATTCCGAAGGAGGGGTAGGCGCTGCCCGCGCGCAGAGGCCGCGCCCCTCCTGGCCCCGGCTTCTTGGCTGTCAAACAGATGCAGCAACGTCGGCTCCTGCCGAGGAGCCCAAGGGGTCCCGGGATCCGCCGCACAGGCTGGCACTGCTTGAAGAGGAGGCTACTCGGAGACTGCGCCGCGCGGGTAGATCCGAAACGGGGCTGGGGCGGAGTGGGAAAAGGCCGGGTATGCCTTGCATGATCGCGGGGAGCTCCTTCCTGTTTTTATCCCACCTAGAGAAGCCGGGAAGTAGGGGTTTAGGTCCAATTTGTTGGAGTACTTAAGGACTCGTTTGCACTTTCTTTTGGGGGATGACAGTGGATTCATTGCCCTCGGAGGTTCAACCAGTTATGAGTGAGGGATTGGCCAGAAGATCGGGGCGCAGGCAAGCAGGAGTGCTCTATTAGGATAAGCAAGTTTGACAGGAAGAAGCTACTCTTCTCCGAATTACACAGAGGTGATGTGTTCGTATTGCACGTAGACGTGTGTATAACAGGACCTCCTTCCCCGCGCCCCGCCACCCCGACACACACAGGAGCTGCCTAAAGTATCCTTGCCTTGCAGATTGGAGGCTCCCCAAATATTTTGCGATCTGAGGATCCAGCTCAAGTGAGGTGCCATAGGACGTGTTCCTGAGTTTGCATTGCACGGAGACCTTCCTGGAATTTTTCATTTGCAAGTCGGCTTAACCAATTTTGCATTGAGTCCTAGGCTGCTTGCACTCTGAATTTGGGCTATTCAGGTAGTGTGCTCAAAGTTGAAACCGCATACAGCACAACTCAAGTTTGCATCAGACTGGGAAGCGAACTTAAGCCAGCGGTGCGTGGCCCAGGAGTGGGAAAGGAAATGGATGCCTGAAGTGGAAGAGGTGGTGCAGAGGGGGCACCGCCCATGCTGCCCTGCTTCCAACTGCTGCGCATAGGGGGCGGCAGGGGCGGTGATCTCTACACCTTCCACCCCCCCGCCGGGGCTGGCTGCACCTATCGCTTGGGCCACAGGGCCGACCTGTGTGATGTGGCCCTGCGGCCCCAGCAGGAGCCTGGCCTCATCTCTGGGATCCACGCCGAACTGCATGCCGAGCCCCGGGGTGATGACTGGAGGGTCAGCCTGGAAGACCACAGCAGCCAAGGTGAGCATTAAGCAGGGCAGCTTTGCCCCTGGGTGGTTGAAGCGCCAGGCTGGAATGAGTAAGGTCTCCACAAGACCCTGCTGCCTGCCTCCCATACTCCCATCAGATTGGATGGATGGTCGTGGTCCAGACCTTCATCTTCCCACCAGAAGTGTGCACAGTCAGAAGCTCTCTGCCAGACTGACCCTTTTTGGTCCCGTTTAGCTCATACAGGACCTGGGATATCATCAGAAAGATATCACAGTGGGGATGTTCTGAGGCCACTAGAGGCCAAGTTTAGACTTGATTCAGTTTCCAGCTTTGCTGAGGCACTCTGTTCCTGGGTTAGGGCAGTTCTATGTTGAATAATGTTTTTAATAATCTGGGCATGTCTTTCTCCGTGACTTGAGGCAGTTAGCCTCAGAAAGCCTAGATTCACATTTGAGTTTTGCCACTGCCTCTTGGTAAAGTCAGCTGTAGGAGTGTTATGGTTATTAGACTATAGTAGCCAACATTCATCTAGTGCTTACTGTTATGAGCCAGGCCCTATTTTAAGTGTATTGAATGTAGGTGGTACTAATATTATCCTCATTTACAGTAAAGGAAAATGAGGCACAAAGAGGTTAAGGAACTTGTCCAGGGCTGGGCATGGTGGTTTACACCTATAATCCAGCACTTTGGGAGGCTAAGGCAGGGTGGATCACTTGAGCTCAGGAGTTCGAGACCAGCCTGGGCAACATGGTGAAAACCTGTCTCTACCAAAAAATTAATTAATTTTTTTAAAAAAGCCTGGGCGCGGTGGCTCACGCCTGTAATCCCAGCACTTTGGGAGGCCGAGATGGGCAGATCACGAGGTCAGGAGTTCAAGACCATCCTGACCAACATGTTGAAACCCCATCTGTGCTGAAAAAAAAATACAAAAATTAGCCAGGTGTGGTGGCGTGCACTTGTAACCCCAGCTACTCAGGAGGCTGAAGCAGCAGAATCACTTGAACCCGGGAGGCGGAGGTTGCAGTGAGCTGAGATCGCACCACTGCACTCCAGCTTGGGCGACAGAGCGAGACTCCATCTCAAACAAACAAACAAACCAAAAGCTTGCCCAGGGTCACATAACTGGTAAGTGGTAGAGCTAGGATCTGAACGAGCTGGAGCTGGGGGAGAGTGAGCATGTTTGAAAACTGGACCTTAGGGCGGGGCACGGTGGCTCACACCTGTAATCCCAGCACTTTGGGAGGCTGAGGCGGGCAGATCAGGAGGTCAGGAGTATGAGACCAGCCTGGCCAACATGGTAAAACCCTGTCTCTGCTAAAAATAAAAAAATTAGCCAGACGTGGTGGCACATGCCTGTAATCCCAGCTACTCAGGAGGCTGAGGCAGGAGAATTGCTTGAACCTGGGAGGCGGAGTGCAGTGAGCTGAGATTGCACTACTGCACTCCAGCTTGGGCAATAGAGCAAAACTCCATCTCAAAAAAAAAAAAAAAGAAAGAAAGAAAAAAAAAGAAGAAAGAAAGAAAATTGGACCTTAGGACAGTG
This sequence comes from Homo sapiens, assembly GCF_000001405.40. Taxonomy (NCBI): domain Eukaryota; kingdom Metazoa; phylum Chordata; class Mammalia; order Primates; family Hominidae; genus Homo; species Homo sapiens. Next base: position 2,464,636 of record NT_167249.2, read on the forward strand.
AGGGCAGGGATCCTTTGTAGGAAAGCACAAGAAACACAGACTTGTTCCTAGCTGACAAGGAGTGTACTGCCTGGTACCTGTCACCTGCTGAGGGGCTTAGGATGTGAGGGAGAATCTGACTACAGTTTCATATTCTTCCCCAGAAATCATACAGATTTCTCCACTCCTGACTCTGGTCATTTCTGTTTTTGTCCTCCATATTTGCCTGGTGCCCCACCATCAACAGGTACTTTGGTCAATAATGTCCGACTCCCAAGAGGTCACAGGCTGGAATTGAGTGATGGAGACCTCCTGACCTTTGGCCCTGAAGGGCCCCCAGGAACCAGCCCCTCGGAGTTCTACTTCATGTTCCAACAAGTACGAGTCAAGCCTCAGGACTTTGCTGCCATTACCATCCCACGGTCTAGGGGAGAAGCCCGGGTTGGGGCTGGTTTCCGGCCTATGCTGCCCTCCCAGGGGGCTCCACAGCGGCCTCTCAGCACCTTCTCCCCTGCCCCCAAGGCCACACTGATCCTAAACTCCATAGGCAGCCTCAGCAAGCTCCGGCCCCAGCCCCTCACCTTCTCCCCTAGTTGGGGTGGACCAAAGAGCCTGCCTGTTCCCGCCCCACCTGGGGAAGTGGGGACCACGCCTTCTGCTCCACCCCAACGCAATCGGAGGAAATCTGTTCACCGAGTGTTGGCGGAACTGGATGATGAGAGTGAGCCTCCTGAGAACCCGCCACCGGTCCTTATGGAGCCCAGGAAGAAACTCCGTGTAGACAAAGCCCCACTGACTCCCACTGGGTAAGTGGAGTCCTCACTTGGCCCTCTCAGTGTTTTACTGCTTTTCGATTCCTTGTATCCCTAGGCTGTGAGGAGGTCCCCCTGCCTGGGGGGATGGGCACGGGAGGTGGAATAGATGGAATGGCAAGACCTGGGTTAGCTCTGATAGGAAAAGAAAAATATGTGCAGGAGAACATGAGAGGTGGGGTGGGGCAGTGCTTATAAAACAACCGGAGTGAGCATGTCCTGCTTTTTACGTTCATATGGCTTTAACCCCATTCTTCTAGTGCCTAAGGATGGGGAACTTTCAGGCTCACACTAGAGGTTTTTAGGCCCACCCTATGTGTTTTTAAGGACAGAGTCCAGGCTCACCTTAGTTCTCAGACCACTGTGCCTCTGTGGCCTCACCCTATGACCAGCCATAGGGTGGCAAGGTCTAGGCCTTCTCCTACAGGTTTCCGGTGACCCTTGTGTCTGTGTCACTTCCTTCAGAAATCGACGTGGCCGTCCTCGGAAGTACCCAGTGAGCGCTCCCATGGCTCCCCCTGCAGTTGGGGGCGGGGAGCCCTGTGCAGCTCCTTGTTGCTGCCTGCCCCAGGAAGAGACAGTGGCCTGGGTTCAGTGTGATGGCTGTGACGTCTGGTTCCATGTGGCCTGTGTTGGCTGCAGCATCCAGGCTGCCAGGGAGGCCGACTTCCGATGCCCAGGGTGCCGGGCTGGCATTCAGACCTAAGGTCCACCGCCAAGGCACCATCGGACACACCTGCCCATGAGTAGACACAGCAGCGAGCAAATAGGTCTGATAAATACCCCCCTTCCCTTCCCTCCCCAGGAGGGAATGACTACAGGGAAGAAGGATGGATTGATGTGGACTCATTCAGGGCCTGGAGCAGACCCTGGTGGCCAAGACAGAAGAGATGGTTTCCTGCCAAAGATATTGCCACCTCCAGGAAATTGCCAGTGAGCTGGAAGTTCCCACTATTACAAGCCATAAGGCCATGTTGCCATGGACACCAGAATATCTGTAGTCAGAGCACCTATCAGTTGCAAAAGCCATGCTTGCAACCGATGGAAAATGTAAGAGGGAGTTCTTAAGGTTCTTGGTGGCATCACCCAAGGCATTCTGGGAAAACCTAGGGCCTGGCCCCAAAACTTCCCTACTCTGTGGCTAGTCCTGCTGCCAACAAAATCGTAGCGACCTGGCTTTTCACAGCTTTGCTTTTATTTCCAAGTCAAGGACAAGCCGCTTCATTCACTCCTGGGCATTTACTCTTCTTGTGGGTCTGTGATATTCCTTGCTTTCCAGGGAGAATGTGCTTGGCAAGGTCTGGAGAACTAATTCAGAATCTTAGGGGAAGGGGAGAGATGGAAATACAAACCTGCTTACTGGAAAGGTGCAAATATATGGGTTGAGCTGGAGGTAGGAATACAGGTAATTAAGGTTTCTAGTTTAAGGGAAAACAGATCTATTGCCATTTAAATAAGGTAACTGGGATTTGGTTAAGTTCACAAAGATAGCAGAAGATTTATTTACAGGCTTCACCTGTACTGTCAGGGCAAGAGAAAGCCTGGTAAACCAGCTACAGCAGTTTACCAGTGTGATGGCTGTGACACAGCTCCACTCCACGGGTGGACACAGCAGAGGGCAACTGGGCTGGCCTGGTTCAGTGTGAATCAAACCGCTTAACCCACACATGGTACATGTGATTTTCTTTTGTGAGCCTTACACCAAGCCAAACTATTGTCAAAGCATCATTTCTATAGAAATAAAGCCTTATCTTGACCTGTTCTATTAAAACCTGCCACATCCGCCCTTTCCTACCTAGATTTAATGAGCCCAAGTTTTTTTACATGGAAGAAATGACTCTGGGGCAAAGACCCCTAATGAACTAGTGGCAGAGCCAGGAATAAAACTTGAGTAACTAATGAGTCACTTATGGGCAGAGTATGCAAAAACCTTAAGTGGAAACCAAATAGACCCTGGTATCAAGAAAGCACAAAGTATTAATAGAAGTTTCTGGTTGGGGTGATCTAGGTTCAACAGAAATAAGATGATTTCTAAGTATAAAGCCATTTAAGAATTCCAGAGTAGGGTGGGAAAGCAAAAAGCCAGCTCTGAACAGGTAACAGCTACATGGTGACTGAGTCTATGGGCAAAAGTTCTTGCATCACAGGCTTTTGGGAACTAGCCTATCACAGGGCCCTGTACAAATAAACTTGGCTGCAATCCCAGCTCTCCCTCTGATGTTGTGTGACCTTAAGGAGTGTAAATGGCACCTTAGTTTCAGGGTCACTTGGGTATGAGCATTGGATATTCCCATCCCCACCTCAGTAACTGAAGGACAAACCAAGATAAGTGTGTCTATCTACTGTGTCCCAGGCTTCTTTATTTAAGAAAAAAGTGATACATGATGTGGGATTAAAATCAAGAGCATCATTGAACTTCACCTTCCCTCCAACCAGTTGCCCCAAACTCCCCTGCCCCCACCCTTTGTGTTCCCAATTCCTTCCTTAGTGAATGAAGAACTTAATCCCAAAAACCCTGGCACAAACTCCAGGTTTTCTTTCCCTAGCTCCTCCCCTCCCCCTGTCCCCCATTCCTAGAAGGGCAGGCACCTCAGTTTGAATGCATGGGAGAGCCCAGAGTGGTGACAGAGACAGGGGGAAAGGCTTCCCCCTCAGGGAAAGGGACCGAGGAGTACAGTGCAGTGAAGTGAGGGCTCCCATAGCCTGGGGTACCAAAATGGGGCCCTGGGGCCAGAGGAAAGGACACTGGTCCCCCTGAGAAAGGAGACCCAGCAGCCTCAAAATCCTCTCGTTGTGCATAGTCGCTGCTTGATCGCTTGCCCTTCTGGCGCCGGTTACAGAACCACACTCGGACCACCTGCCAGTGAACGACAGAAAGGAGAATGACATTAGACAATGAGCTGAGAGACGGGCCTGACTCTGCTTGGACATTCTATCCAAAGCCAACAGCCCTAGAGCAGTTAGAGGAGGACATTAGAGAATGAGCTGAGACAGGCCTGACTGCTTGGACATTCTGTCCAAAGCCAACAGCCCTAGAGCAGTTGGAGGAGCCAGAGCTAGGGAAAGCGAGGTGGTGACAGGGGAAAGAGATGGAGCCTGCAGAGAGACATGGCACTCACATCCTTCTCGAGCCCAAGCTGCTGGGCGATGTGGCTGATCTGCTGCAGTGTGGGTTTCGGGCACTGCAGGAACAAATTCTCCAGGTTGCCTCTCACTCGGTTCTCGATACTGGTTCGCTTTCTCTTTCGGGCCTGCACGAGGGTTTCTGCTTTGCATATCTGTGCAGGTGGGAAGGGGGTGACAAGGGCAAGCTTTGGACTTGCTGAGTAACAGCATCACAGGGGTCTGTGACTAGATGTGTCAGCAGAGCCAGGTGGTGGTGTGAAAAGGCAGGATCCTGGAAGGGTTGGCTCTGGACCTTATCCCAGCAGAACTGAGGAATTTCACTCCATCCCACTGAGAACCACTGCACCAAAGACGGAGAGCTACGAGCCAGTGATGGAAGCAATGGAAATTAGGCCAAGAAAGGGAAGGTCCCCGGGTATCCCCCTCCCACCCTTACCTCCTGAAGATTTTCATTGTTGTCAGCTTCCTCCACCCACTTCTGCAGCAAGGGCCGCAGCTTACACATGTTCTTGAAGCTAAGCTGCAGAGCCTCAAAGCGGCAGATGGTCGTTTGGCTGAATACCTTCCCTGGGGGAGGCCAGTCAAAAGAGAAGCAAAATGAGGGAGCACGCAGGGCCCTTGTGACCCTGAGATCCAAGCTTACCACCTCTTCCCAGAGGGAGCTCAAAGCCCAAGCATCTTCTCCCTCTCCCTACTCCTCTTCATGGGTGAGGGTAGAGTCTGCCCCTGCCCCTCCCCACTAGGTTCAGGGATACTCCTTAGAGGGGAGATGCGGTCAGAATCTGCAGAGGGGAACCCACCAAATAGAACCCCCAGGGTGAGCCCCACATCGGCCTGTGTATATCCCAGGGTGATCCTCTTCTGCTTCAGGAGCTTGGCAAATTGCTCGAGTTCTTTCTGCAGAGCTTTGATGTCCTGGGACTGGATTTTAAAAGGCAGAAGACTTGTAAGAACATAAACACACCAGTTATCAATCTCCCCTTTCCATTCGGGATTCAAGAACCTACGTGTGGCCCCAAGGAATAGTCTGTAGAAGTGCATCTGCCTTCCAAGCTGCCCACCTAACTTCTAGAAATAACCTACCCACAAATGTCATTCACCCATTCCCTGTTCACTGACTCATGCATGTAACAAAGGACTACTCTTCCCCCAGAAACTGGCACATCCAAGGGATGCAGAGCATCGTGAAAGGACAGAAAGAGAGACCCTGGCCTCGAGGAGAACACCTGTCAGGTTATGAAGGTTAGAAGTTCTTTGCTGGGCGCGGTGGCTCACGCCTATAATTCCAGCACTTTGGGAGGCCGAGGTGGGCAGATCACGAGGTCAGGAGTTCAAGACCAGCATGGCCAACATGGTGAAACCCCGTCTCTACTAAAAACACAAAAATTAGCTGGGCACGGTGGCACGCACCTGTAATCCCAGCTACTCAGGAGGCTGAGGCAGGAGAATCACTTGAACCCGGGAGGCGGAGGTTGCAGTGAGCTGAGATCACGCCACTGCACTCCAGCCTGGGTGACAGAGCAAGACTCTGTCTCAAAGAAAAAAAAAAAGAAGATAGTTCATTTAATACCTGCAAAATTCTCTCACTCAAGTATCACCCCCAGTTTAAGGATGTTTTGAGATTAGAGAAATAGATAAGCTGCTAAGTTCTGGGTTAATTAAAAAGGAAGAGCATCATGTCTCAGAAGCTAAATTCAATATATACTCTCCCCAGCTTGCTTTGAGGGTCCCACAAACTATAACATGGCATGCATACACACAAACACAGCAAAAAAGTAACAGGTGTCATAAGAATGGATAAAGTGCTTTGTGTGTACTTACTCCTCATTTTTTAAATTGATTATCCCTCATCTTTACTGTATCTTTTTCACTATAGAGGCATCCTAATTGATTTTTAAATTCAAGAGATTTATCGAGCACCTTCTATAAGCCAGCGGCTATACAAAGTGGACAAAGAGCCCTGACATCCAGCATGACAGAAGTGCTATTCGGCACTTGTTCTTCAAGTTGCCCACTTGGATCTCTTCCAAGTGCACTTTCCTTTTTTCCCTGCCCTATAACTTTTTAATAATAAACTTCCACTCCTGCTCTGAAAAATAAAAAAGTAAATAAAATAAAAAATGGCCAGGCACAGTGGCTCATGTCTGTAAATCCTAGCACTTTGGGAGGCCAAGGTGGGCAGACTGCTTGAGCCCAAGAGTTAGAAAGCAGCCTGGGTAACATAGTGAGACCCGTGCTGCCCCTTCTCCCACCCCTGCTGCCTCTATTTAAAAAATATATATATATTATGGAAAAAAGTAAAGCAGTCCGGGCGCAGTGGTCATGCCTGTAATCCCTTCACTTTGGGAGGCCAAGGTGGGTAGATCACTTGAGGTCAGGAGTTCAAGACTAGCCTGGTCAACATAGTGAGACTCTGTCTCTACTAAAAATACAAAAATTAGCTGGGCATCATGGCGCTCCCCTATAATCCCAGCTACTCAGGAGGCTGAGGCAGGAGAATTGCTTGAACCTAGGAGGTGGAGTTTGCAGTGAGCCAAGATCGCACCACTGCACTCCAGCCTGAGGGACAGAGTGAGACTCCATCTCAAAAATTAAAAAAAAAAATAAAGCAGTCTATAGGAGTAGGGTAAAGGAGGGAAGGAGATTATGGAGGAGGGTGACACTTTTAAAGACAGAGAAGGTGATTGTTTGAGCAAAGGACAAGAGTCTAATGTGGCAAGGCCCTGAAGTGGGCCTTCCAGAGCCCAAAGCTGGTCTGGTGGCTAGGTAGATCCTGTTGCAGACATAGTGACTTTGTTTTAGTCCAAGTGAAATGATCTCTCACCCTTTTTCTCCCCCCCAAGACGGAATCTCGTTCTATCGCCCAGGCTGGAGTGCTGTGGCGTGATCTTGGCTCACTGCAATCTCCGCCTTCTGGGTTCAAGCTATTCTGCCTCAGCCGCCTGAGTAGCTGGGACTACAGGCACCCACCACCATGCCCGGCTAATTTTTGTATTTTTAGTAGATATGGGGTTTCACCATGTTGGCCAGGCTGGTCAGGAGACCTCAAGTGATCTGTCCACCTTGGCCTCCCAAAGTGCTGGGATTACAGGTGTGAACCACCGCACCTAGCCTCACCTTTTTTTTTTTTTTTTTTGAGAGTTTCGCTTTTGTTGCCTAGGCTGGAGTGCACTGGCGCGATCTCGGCTCACCGCAACCTACATCTCCCAGGTTCAAGCGATTCTCCTGCCTCAGCTTCCTGAGTAGCTGAGATTACAGGCATGCGTCACCACGCCCAGCTAATTTTGTATTTTTAGTAGAGATGGGGTTTCGCCATGTTGGTCAGGCTGGACTCGAACTCCCAACCTCAGGTGATTCGCCTGCCTCGGCCTCCCAAAGTGCCTGGCCACACCTTTTAAAACACTGACTCTAGTTGACGTGTTGGCCACAGACAGTAGGGAGGAAGCAGTATAATTTGAGAAGCTACTGCGGTAATCCCAGCAGAGATGATGGTGGCTGAGGCCAGGGTTAGGTTGTGATTGATTCAGGATGTTTCTTAAGGATAGGATGTAGGACGTGAAAGAAACTGAGGATGACTGGGTTTGGCCTTGAGCAACTGGGTGATCAGGGTGGAGCAGTTCAGGGAGCCATCACAAGAGACAGAAAACGCGGTAGTCATCTGGTGTCTAAATGGCATTTAGGCCTTGAGGGTGGGTGAGAGGAAGGAAGGGTAGATAGAGCAGAGGTTGAAGGACTGAGCCCTGGGGCATGCCATATGAGGCTGCCGGCGGACAGAGGTGCACAGCTAGTGAGAAAAAAACAAGGCCTTTTTGTAGTCCTGAAGCCTCAAGGAAGTGTTTCAATGGTGCTTGATCATATCAATTTCAAATAGGCTGTTTTCATCCCCAACTTCTGCTCAGCCAATAACTCAAACTGATAAATGCCCTCTGCTATCCTGGATTTTCCAAATTCTGTTTTGGGGTTTTGGAATAAACACTGGTCCAAATCCTCGCTTCATCATTTAGCAGTTAAAACCCGTTAAATAGGATAATAATACCTCCCCCTAGGAGATTTTGTGCTGGTTAATGAGATAATGATGTATAAACGGAGCACACAGCCAGGCACTTAGGAAGTGGACCACAATTGCCAGCCATTATCATTCAAGGCTCAGCAGTGACCTCCTGCGAAGAGGTTGGGGCTTCTCGGTCACTCCAGAAACCAGTCACACCTTTCTGTGAGGTCTCAAGGCTTAGTATTTAATCTCTAATTGCTTACACTTGTCGCCTTGGAGGACTGGAAGATACATCTTTAATAGTCCTCAGCAGGGCTGGATGCCTTCAATCCCGCAGCAGCTCTATATTTGCAAATGGCCTGGAGAAATCTCTCACCATTTTTCTTGTTTACAACTTTGGAACTGAGGCTGAAGTCAATCAAAATCCAGCTTTCTACAAGGGGTGCCAGGGTGTGCACCTTAACACAGTGGCCAGTCATTGGCCTGAGGCAGAGATCCGGGGAAGACAAGCCCTATACTTGACTGGAGGTAAACCCAGCTCACAACGCGCACACACACAGCCCAAACAGGAGATCCTATCAGAAACGAGTCACACCCTAGACTTTCAGGAACAATAATCCTGGAATGAGCACTGTTTTTACCCTCAGGCTATGCTTAACCCTAAGGCCAAAATCTTGGGTCTGATAAGGGTCAAATTTTCAAGCAGGACTAAGGGTGGGAAAAGGGGCTCAAACCAACCCCAACCTGGGTCTGGTGCTGGGCCAGTAATGAGTGACCAGACCCTGGGCAGGCCTAGGAGATGTGAGAGACCCTGACAAGGGCTGGGCCAGAGCAAAGGCCAGCCTGGGCCAGCTTCTGACTCTCCCAGGCCGCTCTGCCCTCACCGGCAGTTGTCTCTTCGAAATCCAGCTTCCAGTTCCCACCTGGCCCCTGCCTGCCAGGGCTGCCTGCAGTTGATACACACCCCTCCCTGGCCAGGGCAGCTGACCCTGCCTGCTCCTCTCCTGGGTGCCAGGTCTGGGCAGCTGCAGGTGACCACTTCCCCATCAGGCTGCCCTGTCATGACCACCTCCCCACACCCCAACCCCGTCGAAGCTCACTTGCCTCCTCCGGGTTTTGCTCCAGCTTCTCCTTCTCCAGCTTCACGGCACCAGGGGTGACGGTGCAGGGCTCCGGGGAGGCCCCATCGGAGTTGCTCTCCACCCCGACTCCTGCTTCGCCCTCAGGCTGAGAGGTCTCCAAGCCGCCTTGGGGCACTAGCCCCACTCCAACCTGGGGCCCACAGTACGCCATCCCCCCACAGAACTCATACGGCGGGGGGCATGGGGGAATCCCCCACACCTCAGAGCCTGGCCCAACCCCCGGCCCGATTCCTGGCCCTCCAGGAGGGCCTTGGAAGCTTAGCCAGGTCCGAGGATCAACCCAGCCCGGCTCCGGCCCCCCTGGCCCATCACCTCCACCACCTGGAGGGGGCGAGAAGGCGAAATCCGAAGCCAGGTGTCCCGCCATGGGGAAGGAAGGCGCCCCAAGCCGGGGGCCTGGTGAAATGAGGGCTTGCGAAGGGACTACTCAACCCCTCTCTCCCTCCCCAGTCCCACCCACTAGCCTTGACCTCTGGCCCCGCCCCCTGGATGGGTGGAGGAGAGGGAGGTGGGGGGAGAAACTGAGGCGAAGGATGTTTGCCTAATGGTGGTGGCAATGGTGTCTGTGGAAGGGGAAAACCGGGAGACACAACTGGCGCCCCTCCAGGACCTCAGTGCAGGTCCCCCACAGAAACTTTTTTTATTTTTATTTTTTAAGACAGGGTCTCACTTTGTTGCCCAGACTGGAGTGCAGTGGAGTACAATGATGGCTCAATGTAGCCTCGATCTACTGGGCCAAAGCAATCCTTCTGCTCCAGCCTCCTAATTGGCTGGGACTACAGGCTTGGACCACTGTGCCCTGTTAGTTTTTTTATTTTTAGTAGAGATGGGGCCTTGCTATGTTACCCAGGCTGGTCTTGAATTCCTGTCCTCAAGAAATCCTCCCACCTCTGCCGCCCAGTGTCATGATTAAAGGCGTGAGCCACCACACCCAACTTTCAACTCCCAACCCGCTCCCTGGCACTCTCTCAGGCTCTGCACATCCCAGCTGTCTGGAATCACTCCCACAACTCCATGTTCTTCAGGAACCCAGGTGCTTGACCCCCTCTCCACAGACCTCTGGCACTGTGCCTTCAGGGGCCAGTCACCCTCTCAGCTCCTCAAATTTATTGAATGTGTGTGTGGCGCTATCCCTCAATGCATCAACAGCCATAAGCACAATGGCCAGCTGCTCCCTTATGCCTTCCCCCGATCCATCCAGAATCCTAGGCATTCCCATCCCGATACTGGCCAAATCCAGCCACCCCGCAGCCTGGGTGCCTGGCACCATCTGCCCAGCCTGCCAAATTTCACCCCATCTTCAAGAGTAGACTGCCAGACAAGGCCTCCGTGCTATATCCCCCCACCCCCCATCCCCCCACCCCTCCGTCTTCCAGAATCAGACTCCAGACTCTCCTCATCTAACAGACTAAGGGGTTGGCCCCTACTTCCCCTTCAAGGGACCAGACTTTGGACTGACTGGGCCTCAGTTTCCCAACCTTTGCTGAAACAGAGTGATAAGACACCCGCTTTGGGCCCCCTCCACTATGGAACCTGCACATCAGGTTCCTTGCTCCCCTCTCAACCAAAACTCAGACATCTAATACCACGGTAGGCCCCGTTCTCCCTCCCCCACCTCCCTGGCCCAGGCCTCCAGCCCTAGGCCCTGGGTGGGGAAAACCAGGGGGTGGGGGGTGTGGAGAAAAAATATCTGACTTCAGGTTCAAAGAAGCCTGGGAGGGACTGGGGGAAGGGGGCAGGACAATGGCCTTGGCTGGACAATCCCGGTCCCCAGAGGGGGCAGCTCTAACCCTAAACAAGTGCTCAACCCTTGAATGGGCCTGGATGGCTCCCCTGGGGACTGCTTCCTGCTCCCCAACCCCCCAGTCCCAATCCCCTCACACAGAATCCCCTTCAGAGACGCTAAAAGGAGCTCCAGCAACCCCCCTCTGCAATCCCCTCAAAGACTGAGCCTCAGACGGGCACCAAGGGCCCCCCACAGGGACCTAGGTATCTAGTTCCTCCTTCCTCTGGGGGACTCAGGCGTCCAGCTTCATCGTGCGTCCCTCCCCGAGCCTGGCAGATTGAGGGATGTGCTTTGTTTAGTGGGGCTGGCTGGCAGAAAGACGCAGAGGAGGTGGAGAGTGATTTGTGGAGGCGTGCAGGAAGGCTGCCCTAAGCTCCCCTTCAGGGTCTGTTTTTCTGGGCCTGGCCTGAGTATCCTGAGGCTCATGCTGCTGGTCTAGTGCTTGATTCTGTTTGCAAGAGAATAGCCAACGGAATGCCTGTCTGTGAGGGATGATGTTTGTCTGTCTGCTCCCAAAACTTGATCTCAGTGGAGGGCCTGGGGTAAGTCTGGGGGCTCCAGAGGGGGCTCTGGGCCAGGGCTCCCCACAGCTTCGAAGGCCAGAAGGCCAGGTCTGGACTGGGCACGCTGACCTCTGTCGACTTAAGTAAGGCTTCTCATTGCAGGCTCCAGGCTCAGCCCTGCCTGGGCTTGTCTGCTGAGGTCAGTGGCTCTATCTGCCTTCTAAGGGGATGGGTGTCCCGTGGCCAGCTGTCTTCATCTTGGTGGCATCCGTGAGTCTTTTGAGACTTTTCCCCCACTCTTATGTTGCCTCTGTTCGTGTGCCCATCTCCTGTCTGTGTAGACTTTTTGAGCCTAATTGTATGCGTGCATTTCAATACCTGCCACAGGTCTGCCGGAAGGTCTACAAGGCAGTGGGGTTGCAGCTGTGTTCACTTCTCGGCCTTTAACTGCCCAAAAGGCAGGTAGATTATGGGGCCTGGTGGGGGTAGGAGGAACATGCTTCGGAACAGGAGGAGGCCCCTCCCCAGCCATCTCAATCCCCAGGACAGAACCATCACGGCACCTTTGTCATGCATCTCTCTGCTGTCTGCCAAGAAGACGGCCTCTCAGAGGAGGGGGAGGGGCAGGCCTGGGATTTGGCTGGAATCTCCACACCAGTGTTTCTCAGCTTGCCATCCTCCAGGTTCCCCAAAAGCGCTCTTCCCAAGCCAGTCCAGAGAGTCCCTGCTGCCCATTTTCCTAGTGGCTCCTAAAACACCTTCCCCAATTTCCCCACTCAACACCACCCTCTTGTTTTTAGATTATAATTTGTACTGTAGGTGGTGTATTTCTGGCCTGGGCAAGAGGCCCATTCCCGAGAGGGACGCAGACAAGGGGTGGGTGCCTGGGTCCCTGGCTGCCTTGTGGCTGGATATGAGCCCAGTCAGGGGTCAGCCTCCTGCATGCCTAGACTCCTAGCCGGCCCCCTTCTGGGGTGCTCAGGGCTGATGGGAGGTTGAGGCAGGCTTTCCTTCCTTCTCACTGTCCTGTTATGCCTGAAGGGTAGGTGGCTTCACTTCAGCCAAGGCCAGCTCTCCCAGGCCCCAACCAGTGCTGGGGGCCACCGTTGGGCCTGGAGGAGACTGGAAGCCAGGCTGAGTCATCAGAACTGGTCCCATGATTCCCTGGGTTTTAGAAAGTCACCATAAAAAGATACTTCACACACACCTTTATTATTACAGTGCAATGTCAAGACCCTTCACAGAGCACTGCCAGGGGACCCAGGTGAGGCCCACCTCTCCCCACCAGGTGTGGCGGCTGGCATGGCTGGGTGGGGAGAGGTGAGATGAGCAGCCTTGCTGCTCTCAGCCCAGCCTTCCCTTCCCCTCACTGGGAGATGAGGTGCTGTTTGGTTGAAAAACCAGCTGAAAAAACTCAGTTGGGACCAATAGAGACTTGCTCTCGACCCGGTCTAGGAAACCACTTATTTTGACTTCCGAGGCCTGTCAATCTGAAGGCAAAAGAAAGGGAAGAAATGGAGGGCTGAGGGTTCAGGCTTGGCCCACCTTGGGAGATGATCTCCCTTAATAGCAATTTAGACAAATTCCTTTGCTCACTGTGGACCAAGTCCCCTCTTCTCAACAAAGGACCCTCTGATCTCCCCCATGAGACCTGCAAACTGAGGTCACCTTATCCCAAATCCAGACACTCTTACCTCAAATAGAGGAGTCAACTCTCTAGCTGTAGCCTGTAGGGAGTCAGAGGTGAGAGCAAAAGGAGTGGGTGAGCTGGGAGGATTGGTCAGGAACAAACTAGGAGGCATGGACCAGGTTCTAAGTCCTGGCTCTGACTCCCTGGCTAATGGCACCTCCCCCTCCTGTGCCTCAGTTTCCTCACCTAGTAAAGAGGATTTGGACTCAATGAACTCTAAACTTCCTTCCAACTAAGACATAAAATTGCTGCCCCGCTCTCATATGCCCTCCCATCTACCCACCCCCCTTACTTGACATGGGAATGTAGACTTCTCTGCACACCTGTGAAGAGAAATGGGGGTAGGAAAGCTGGGAGTGGTGTTCAATGAGAAGTTGGCATAGGCCTCCCTGTACCCTGCCACCTACCTCCAAGCATCCTTCCTGGGGAATCTGGCAGGTTTTCCCCTGAAGTTTGATCAAGAGATATAGGAGGAGGCCGGGAGCGGTGGCTCATGCCTATAATCCCAGCACTTTAGGAGGCTGAGGCGGGCGGATCACTTCAGATCAGCAGTTCGAGACCAGCCTGGCCAACATGGTGAAACCCTGTCTCTACTAAAAATACCAAAAGGTGGTTTTTTTGTTTGTTTGTTTTGTTTTTTTTTGCATGTGGTGGTGCATGCCTGTAATCCCAGCTACTCAGGAGGCTGAGAAACAAAAATCGCTTGAACTCAGGCAGCAGAGGGTGCAGTGAGCTGAGATCGAGCCACTGCACTCGGCAACTGCATTGCTACATGCCTCCAAACCCCAGCTGCTCATCTGAGGTTGCACAGAGACTCAGCATCAGCCTGGTGCATCACCAGACAGGAGAGCCTATGCTCACGTCAAAGGGATCACAGCAGACTGCTGGCTCTGGGCATCTGAGCAGCGCCATGCAAGGGGGCAAGTGGCTTAGGGTTCCAGGGACTCAGGGGCTGGGGCAGCCCATCCCTCAGCTAAGTTAGCTGGACACTGGAGGATAGAAGTCAAGGGCCTAGCATGTTGGGATGGCTCCTCTCCAGGGGCTTTGCAGAGAGTCCCATGCACCAAGGGGGCTAGCGGGACAGGGAAAAGTGGTGGCAAAGACCTCCCAGACAAACTGGCTGCCTCTGGTCCTATCAAGCTGCCGTACATCCTCCACACCAGGGCTTTAGGCACCATTCCACTGTGTTCCATGGTGACTGTAGGTGATGCCCCACCTTGAGAGCCCTTGGGTGCTCAGCCCTGGGTCAGAACTTGAACACCAAGTGGGAAAAGGGCTGACCAAGCACGGGAGAGGGAAGGAAAGCAGAGTGGCTAGGACGGTCAGCAACAGAGCTGTGTTCATTTAGGACATGGGTATTGAAATGGAGTTTTGAAGGCTGGCTGAGGGGCCTGCACTCCATCCCTCCCACAGTGCCCTCAGCTCCTCCACCTTCCCCACATGAACCAGTCCGCACCTATCACACCTACGGTGGGCCGTGGTCCCACCCCAGCTTTCAGGTGTTTCCGGAGAGGGTAGACGCAGCTCTAGGTCAGGAAGGATTGTTTCCTTCCCTTCTCTCCTTCTGCAGCTATGCTTGGTTCTGGCTGGCTTTTGCTGGAGTTGAAAGACTCAAGTGTGCTAAGAAGGGAGTCCTGGCCATCACAGTTGTAGTGCCAGTGTCCCCAGCTGCTCCGGTTCCCCAGCAACTCACAGACAACCGTGGTCTGGAGGGTGTGTGACTCTGAAAAGCCAAAACCCCAGAACTCCAAAGTTACAAGAGGTCAAAACAGTGGCTCTCTCCACCTCCACTCCTACCTCCTCCCAAAATGCATGAAATTCCCTTCCTCTGACTGATAAACCCTCACTCATTCTCCAAGACATATCTTCTCTGTCAACCACATCCCCACCAAAGTCACACTGCACCCGCTCTCCCTCCCCTGCAGCATGTGGCTCCCTCCCATGTACCCAGCATGCACTGTTCAGCCACATATACTCACCCACCCTCCTGAAGGCCCAGCACAGACAGCATTGTGTTTAAATCCCTGATCTACACATCAGCTACTGGCTATATGCCCACGGCAAATGTAATGGAACCTCTCCAAGCCTTGCTTTCCTCATTTGGCAACTGGACACAATTATAGTCTCTACCACACAAGTAAAGATAACATGAGATAATCCTTGCCAGTGTTAATGTAGGACCTACCAAGAAGAATTCAAGAACTAGTAGCTGCTATTGTAAGGTGTATTATTGGTAACAGCAAAATGAACAGCACTTACTAGGCTTAAATGTTTGCTAGATGAAAAAAAATGATATTGGTTAGAAATATATTTTGCTCAGGTCACCAGGTTTCTTATTAACTACTGGTGGTGGCGAGAGAGGTGAATGTCAGAAAAAGGCCAGTTTTTCCCATTTCCTGGATTTGAGAAAGTTGGATAAATTTTTTTCACCTGGCCGGGTGCGGTGGCTCACGCCTGTAATCCTAGCACTTTGGGAGGCCCAGGCAGGTGGATCACGAGGTCAGGAGTTTGAGACCAGCCTGGCCAACATGGTGAAACCCCATCTCTACTAAAAATATAAAAATTAGCCAGGTGTGGTGGCAGGCGCCTGTAATCCCAGCTACTCAGGAGGCTGAGGCAGGGGAATCGCTTGAACCTGGGAGGCGGAGTTTGCAGTGGGCTGAGATCGGGCCATTGCACTCCAGCCTGGGCAACAAGAGCAAAAAAAAAACAGACTTTTTTCACCTGAAGGGAAGGCTTGGGAGCTTAAGGACAATGGCTTCTTTCTTAGAGACCTAGTCCTTGACTGAGGGAAAGGGTGAGGGTCTTATACTTCTTTTTTTTTTTTTTTTTATTGAGACAGAGTCTTGCTCTGTCACCCAGGCTGGAGTGCAGTGGCACGATCTCGGCTCACTGCAAGCTCCACCTCCCGGGTTCATGCCATTCTCCTGCCTCAGCCTCCCGAGTAGCTGGGACTACAGGTGCCTGCCAGCGCACCCGGCTAATTTTTTTTGTATTTTTAGTAGAGACAGGGTTTCACTGTGTTAGCTAGGATGGTCTCGATCTCCTGACCTTGTGATCCACCTGCCTCGGCCTCCCAAACTGCTGGGATTACAGGCATGAGCCACCGCGCCCAGCCAGAGGGTCTTATACTTCTGTCCTACTCTTGCTAATACCTAAGACCCAGTCCTTTTGGCACCACTGGGTACATAAAACAAGGTTTGAGTCAGGGATGAACTCCCCCAGGCAGGAGGAGATAGCATCAGGATCTCAGTGAAGTGGGATGGTATCTGAGTGCCTAGCACAGTGCCCCACGCAGAGCTCAATGCATCTTAGCTGAACAATAACGAATGCAGCTGCACATCTTCAGGCCCATATTGAGCTCTTCTCTCTTTTCTGCCTCCTCCTGAGCCCCCAAGCCCAATCACCTTGGCTCTGGTTGTTGTGTGCCATGATGCTCCCCGGGATGGTGACAAGGTGCTGGGCTCTGGCCTTCAGTCTGAGAACCAGCTTCTCCCAAGCTCTTGGGTCCCTGGCCTGAGCCCAGGATGCACGGGGCTCTGCCCACCTGCCCTCCTTGCAGCATCATAAGAAAGGGTGGTCATCCAGGTAGCCTGAGACTTCGTAAGGGGCTTGCCCAGGGCTGGGCTGGGAAAGAGTAATGAAGTCATAGCACAGAGAGTGGGTTGCTGAGGAAAAGAGAATGATGGGAAAGGGTTATTTTCCAACAGGAGTCTTACCTGGGAGACACTGCACAAGGTGCCTGTGTGGTGAGGCTGTGTGACTATTTTTGAGGGCACCAAAGGAGTGGGTAAGGGGAATGCAGACTGAACAATGGGAAGGGAATCTCTTGTTTCCCTGCAGGGCCTCATCTAGGCTCATTGTTTTAAATAGTAATGACTCCCAAATCTCTTCATCCCTGTTCTTCACATCGGTATATCCAACTACCTACCTGTTGGTCATCTGGACCTAAGGTTCCATATGGCCTTAAATCTGACACATCCAAAACTGAGTATTTCCTCTTGGCCCTGGCCATGGAACAACCTGCCTCTCATCCTATATTCCTGGTGAGTGGCATCATCCTCTCACCTGCCTGCTTACTCAAGCCAGAACTGGGTTGAGGTGTGGGCAACTACCGGATGTCATGTAGCCTCCTGGCACAATAGCATGAAGTGAGCTGAGAGGTCATGGAACAAAAAGGCTCACAGACCAAATGTAAATGCTCAAATAACATCGTTTATTAAATAAATGTAAAACACATTCTGAGAAGCAGGAGGCAGGTGCTGGGGTGGGTCAACACACGGGAGAGGGGGCAAGTTGGGTGGAATGATCACACCAGCTGAACTGTGGGTCATGCAGTGTGCATCCATCCTGTCAAATTGAAACCTCCTGCATCCTGAGTGCCTCATGTCTCACGTATTTAGGGTACCGTGAATATTTAGTGCCTCCTTGGTCTTTCTGTCCCTTTTGATCTCTGTACACACGAATATGTTGTACTATCTACAGATGACTAATTTAGTTATCTATGTGTAACACTTCTTTTGAGTTTATTGTTTTCCTGTCTTCTACAGCAGAATTGGATATTCCCAAACAATCGGCAAGTCTGGTGTTTATCCTAGAGTGCTGCCTCCCTTCACACCCCCTAGTTTCAAACAGTCAGCAAGCCCTGCCCATTTTTAACTTCCTGTTTCTCCAATCTGGACATTCCTCTACCTCCACCAAACCAGCCCATAGTATGGCTTGCTTGGATTATAGCCAGAGTCTTTCTAACTGGTCTCTCTCCCTCCAGTCTTAAGCATATAAAATCTGTCCTCCTTGATATAATCAGAGTGATCTATCCAGAAATACATATCAGACCGCATACCTCTCTGCTCTTCCTCTAAGGATTCCCCTTTTGTCCTCGGGATGGTTTCCAAGCTCCTTAGCAAGCTAAACAAGGCCCCTTGAAGGCTGCCGTCTCCACCCTCATCTCCCACCACACCCTGCCTTCACCTGACCCACTTGGAACAGGAAGGTTGGAGCACCTCCATACTCCTGCAGTTCCACCTCCCAGTGCCTTCCTGAGATGGTCCCCTGAAGGGAAGACCCATCCTTCCCTTCTCCAAATACCACTTAAACCACTTAAACCCTTTCATTAAACCCTTACCCTGGCCTCAAACCATCTACCACGCTGCTGTACCCCTTTATTTCAGAGACGGCTCTGACTTTCACTCAGAGGTGACACTCACCCTACCACTTGTCTATGGCTGTGCATCCCTCTTGGGGCCATCTCTTGTGGACAAGAATATGAGCCACATTCTTCATATATGAGAAAATTACACCAATCTCAGAGGATTAGAGGTCATGCCAAAAAACACACCTGGTAGTTATGTTTAAATATATTTTTAAGGCTGGGTTAAAAACCACGATGAGGCGAAACCCCATCTCTACTAAAAAAATACAAAAATTAGCTGGGCCTGGTGGTGCACGCCTGTAATCCCAGCTACTCGGGAGGCTGAGACAGGAGAATCCCTAGAACCCAGGAGGCAGAGGTTGTAGTGAGCCGAGATTGCACCACTGCACTCCAGCCTGGGCGACTGAGTGATTCTCCGTCTCCAAATATATATATACACACACACACATATACGTATATATATGTGTATATACGTATATATATATATATTTTTTTAACAAACATAGCTGCTATCATTGGCTCCTTTTCTTTTTTTCGAGACGGTCTCACTCTGTCACCCACATTGAAGTGCAGTGGCACAATCATGAGGCCCACCCCAACCTCTGCCTCCCAGGCTCAAGCGATCCTCCCACCTCAGCCTCCAGAGTAACTGGGACTACAGGCGTGCACCACCACGCCTGGCTAATGTTTTTGTATTTTCTGTATTGACAGGTTTTCCTCATGTTCCCTGGGCTGGTCTCAAACTCCTGTGTCCAAGCAATCCTCCGCCCAGCTCGGCCTCCCAAAGTCCTGGGATTACAGGCATAAGGACCTCCTACGGCCAAGTTTAAGCTTCAAGTGGGAGACATGGGACAATTACTTACCAGATACAACCAGTTTCAGAGGAAGCCCTACCTACCCTCTAAGCCTGACCTTATCTTGCAACCTCCATCGCCCCAGACCTCCCCCGGCTCCAAAAAGCACTCCCAAGAGGCCTCATAAAGGCCACAGTTTGGGGAAGGTTATGGCTCAGGGGAAGGGGAGAGGTGCTAAATAATTAAGCCCCCCTACTACTCAGCACCCGCGTGAGGCATCGTCAGGCATCGTCAGGCCTCCAGTGGTGGTGGTGGCACCGGGCCTCAACCTCCCCGGAGGGCTGGACTCTCGCTGCCAGGCTGTGGGGATCAGGCGTTGTGGGGGAGGGGGACACTTAACAGGTATGGAGGGCGGAGCAGAGCCCCGCAGTCACTGGCCTGACTTCCGGAACGAACCGTCGCCAGCAAGCACAGCAGTAGGACCAGGGGGATGCAAGAGCGGGGGCGGCCGGGGATCGTGCTTCTCGCTCAGGTCCAGATTCCCGGCAACCAGGCCGGCGGAATCACGTGCCATGCTCCAGGCCAGCGTAGTCCCGCCCATCTTCCAGCTGAGCGTACCGGGAGGCTCCCATTGGACTGGAGCTGCTACGGAGGCGGGACTTTCCCTTTTTCTTGAACCCCATTGGGTTAAGTCCAGTCCGAGACAAGCGTCTCTCCTCAGCAGTGGGAGGGGTGATTTGGCTCATCCATACTTAGGAATTTGGGGTTTGAGGCCGGGTGCGGTGGCTCACGCCTGTAATCCCAGCACTTTGGGGGGCCGAGGCGGGCGGATCACAAGGTCAGGAGATCGAGACCATCCTGGCTAACACTATGAAACCCCGTCTCTACTAAAAAAATACAAAAAAATTAGCCGGGTGTGGTGGCGGGCACCTGTAGTCCCAGCTACTCGGGAGGCTGAGGCAGGAGAATGGCGTGAACGCTGGAGGCAGAGCTTGCAGTGAGCAGAGATCGCGCCACTGCACTCCAGCCTGGGCGACAGAGCAAGACTCCGTCCCCCCAAAAAAATAATTTGGGGTTTGAGACCCGGCGCGGTGGCTCACGCCTGTAATCCCAGCATAATCCCAGCACTTTGTGGGGGGCCGAAGCGGGCGGATCACCTGAGGTCAGGAGTTGGAGACCAGCCTGGCCAACATAGCGAAACCCTGGCGCGCACTTGTAAACCCAGCTTCTCGGGAGACTGAGGAAGGAGAATCGCTTGAATCCGGGAGGCGGAGGTTGCAGTGAGCCGATATAGCTAGCGCCACTGCACTCCAGCCTGGGCGACAGAGTGAGACTCCGTCTCAAAAAAAGAGAGAGAATTTGAGGTTTAAGTTGTCTCTCCTTGGTCGCTGTGCAGTCGAGTGTTTTTATGTTCAGACCTCTTCCTGCCCATTTTATTTATTTAATTTATTATTTATTTATTTATTTATATTTTTTGATATGGAGTTTCACTCTTGTTGCACAGGCTGGAGTGCAATGGCGCGATCTCGGCTCACTACAACCTCCGCCTCCCAGGTTCAAGCGATTCTCCTGACTCAGCCTCCCTAGTAGCTGGGATTACAGGTGCCTGCCACCATACCCCACTAATTTTTTGTATTTTTAGTAGAGATGGGGTGTGTGTATACATATATATATATATATATAGCAAGTAGTCAAGAGCTAGTCTATTTTGATAGATAGCATTTCTCATCAGAGTCTCTTGCCGGGCAAGAACAGTCAAGGTTTGACGGGTTTTATTAGTAATAATTTCTAAACAGCTTGCAACCATATGATTCGGTTGAGCATGTAGATGGGGGTTCGATATCCTCATGAGCCATCTTGTGTCTAAGTGGCAGGCCTATAGTATTATATAATTTTTTTAGGAGGTCATTTATCATCTTTCCAATTACCTATGGCTATGCTTCGTTTTTCGCAGGAAGCATAGACTGGGAAGCCCAGAAGTTTACCTGTTTTTATGGGCAGTAAGAAGAAAGATGGCTTAATGGTGCCAATTACACAGCTACCTGTCCACTGATCAGGGAGCTTAGCATAAGCTCTGCGTATAACCCGGTGGGGGCTGTCCAGTCCCGGTGGAGTTCTGGGTGGGCCCAAACAGTCTGCAACTTTGGAAATTTACTGAATGGATTTCTTTCTGTGTAATTGGAACTCCACCATGTAACTTTTTGTGGTACCATTATACAGTTTTTGCCCAAGACAACTAAGCCGCCAAACAGGATCTTTTTTATCTTCTTTTTAAGTAGCCCAAATGACACAAGACCAGTATTGACACATCTCACATAAATACAATTCTTGACAGATACACTTATTTTTTTTTTACTGTGTCACTTTTTTTTTCCAATTTAGAGAACCGCATCCTATTCCATGCTGCTTACTATCAATAGCGGCACAAGCACCAAATTTTAAGGTTACATTTTTGGGGGCCCCTCTTTTTTCCGTTCTAGCTATTACCTTACTTGTGTCACCTAGAAAAGGACCAGTCCTTAATTTTATTTTAAAAACTGTGATCACGGGAGGCTTAAAATGGGTCATAACACACATCAGGTTGGTTATTCCCTGGGCTACATACCTTGGATAGCATTATACAAACAAGTTTCTTTTAGAGTCCTGGTACACTTATAATAACCATAAAATAATAGGACTGTAGCAATTTTTGTCCTACCTCAGTGACTTGATGTATATAC
Organism: Homo sapiens; assembly: GCF_000001405.40. NCBI lineage: Eukaryota > Metazoa > Chordata > Mammalia > Primates > Hominidae > Homo > Homo sapiens. The sequence goes on from NT_167249.2 coordinate 2,486,331, forward strand.
TGGAAACAGTTCTCAATCTGAGGAAGGTCAGTTGAAGTCCTTACTGTACAAGTCCAAATTTTAAGGAAAATGAGTCCCGCAATGAGTTTCCTCATGCTTCGCCTGTGCGTGGACCAGTCAGCTTCTGGGTGTGACTGGAGCAGGGCTTGTCTCCTTCTTCAGAGTCACTTTGCAGGGGTTGGCAAAGCCGCTCCCATCCACGTACAGCTCCCAGTCTACTGATGTTTAAGGGTGGTCTCGGAGGTTAGGCCTACTAGAATAAACTGAGTCCAGCACCTCTAAACAGTTATGTTTAACTGGGCTCTCTGTTACCAGGAGTAAGGTGGCTGGGTTAGGGTGTTGGAAACTTCAATGGTTTTGTGGGGATTTTCACAGAGCAAGGTTTGGTATCTAGTTAGTCTAGCATTTATTAGCTAATGATGTCCTTTGGTATTTATTAAAGTCACCACAGCATGGGGAGACTTTCTGTTTAGGTTTTGCCTAAGAGTTAGCTCATCTGCTTCTTGTGCTAACAGGGCAGTTGCTGCCAGGGCCCTTGGACATGGGGGCCAGCCTTTGGAAACCCCGTCTAGTTGTTTTGAGAGATAGGCCCCTGGCCTTGACCAGGGCCCTACAGTCTGGGTTAAAACTCCAACTGTCATTTTTTCTCTTTCTGACACACAGAGTGTAAAGAGTTTTGTCAGGTCAGGTAGCCTCAGGGCTGGGGCCGACATGAGTTTTTCTTTTTAACTAATGAAAAGCTCTTTGCTGTTGGTTGTAATAGATGTAGTTTATCTAATCTACATTTTTGTTGACTGTCATCTACTAAAATATTGACTTAAATCCTGTAACTATTTGATTTCAAGCTTTAAATTGATCTGGTATTCCTTGTGGGGCTCCAATTGCATTTAAGTAGATGTGAGAATTGAAAGACCTATAAGGGGCTTCTCTCGTTTTATGATGTCTTACTTTTTTTTTCCTCTGGTTGATGAAATGCCAGGGTGAAAGGGATAGCCAAATGGACTAAAGCACAAGTGCCACTCTAGTTATTCAGCAGAGTGCCCAGTAAAGGTCCACCCCGATACCACCATACATCCTCTCGGGGATGAACAAGGGCTGACTGATTGATAAGCTCTTGGAAACTCTTAAGCTCACTGCATCCCTTCAGGTCTCCAAGGAATGCTAAATCTCCTCCCTGCCGTGAGAGACAAGAAGTGAACTTAGTGTTGGGAGATGGAAGCTGGATGGCCCTCGGGGGCTGACCCACAGAGACTTCGGGATATAGCAGAGAGAGCTTGGCATGACTTATTACTCCAGGCTGTAGAATCCTGGAAAAGAGCTACCATGCAGCCCACACCTGGTCGACTGGAGGACCACCTTAGTGGAAGAGGGACAATCAGGGCCTCTGGCCTGCCATGTGCACAAGCATAACAATTGATTTTGTTTAACGTGCAGATGGAATATTTAATCCATTCCAACCAGGCATTTGCATCTTGGTATGCTGTCTTAACTGCCAAAGTTTGTTTTAAGTCTTTAACTTCTATGATCCTCTAGTAAAATGAATGTTTCCTTTAGCATCTATTTTTATTAGTTTTTAGACCAAAGAAAGCTAAACACCATTTTATATTTAATAATGCTTCTTGTATGATTTTTATACCAGGTAAGCTAAATTTTACCTTTATATTAGTGTGTTATTAATGTTAAACTTAATTTTAATAAAACTTTGTAGACATATTTATCCAATTTTTCATGTTTGACCATAAGGTAAGGTTTTATAGACTCTTTTTAACCTTTTATAATTTTTGTTAAAGAGCAGGTTGATGCTTTAAGAAAAACCTGTCACATTTTTACTTTAATGTCCAGTTCACAGAAAAACTGGATGATACCTTTTTAACTTTAGCCAATATGTTTACACACAGAATTTTCTTTACAATTAACATTTTAAAATTTGCTTACACTTTCAAAACAATAATTTTTTTAACCTTTTAATGTAGGTAAAAATCCACATTCTTATGCCTCCTTATAATCTTTTTACCAAAGGTATATTTTACTTTTCTTATACACCTTGCACATAAACTGTTTTTTTTTTTTAAATAGTACTCAGGAGGCCTTATTACTTTTAAATTACACAATATTTTTTGCATAAATTTTTTTATAACATTTTTTCTTTCACGACTTTCGCCGACAATTCTTCAACATGTCTCAACTTTCTGACTTATTACAAACATTTTTTTTTCTTTAAACAACCAGTTAATTTATTTCAGGACAAGAATTTACCATATAACACTCTTTTTACATAAATTCTGCCTCCCCCGCTTTTTTTTTTTAAAGTGAACTTTTTTTTTGTCTTTGGACTAGACTGTCTAAGGCCACAAGATTAGAAGTTACCATAATACATGTTATACTGTTAATTTTTAGCAAACTTCACTTTTGTTGAAAACCTTGTAAGTTTGGGATTTCAATTATCCTTTGCTATTAATAAGACCTTGTTTAGTCTAAATTAACTTAGAATTGGTATAGATGGCCTTTTTTTCTCTCTGCTGGTCTTTCCTTGCCTCTGCCAGATGCTTATGCTACTGTTCTCTTAACTACTGTAGGGGGAAGGGGGTCTAAAACCAGCTGTAACTGTCTATGTACAGAAACTGGTCTGGATGCCTTGGCTTACAGGTTACTTTGTGTCATACCTTTGAAACAAGGGACCTGTCCAGGCTTCCTTCTGATGGCCAACCCACCTCTAATGCTGGCCAGTCTATTTCACAAGTTCTAAGTTTTCCTGGTGTCACAGTAACATCGTAATCTCCCTTAAATTCTTTCTTGAAAAAAAATTTTTTTTAACATAGTTCCTAGTGGGGTGGGCTTATTTGTGCCTGACCCATGCTTCTTCGAGACAAAACACCACGCTCACACCACACGTGCACTACAAAACAAAAAAACAGGGCGCACACACTTTTGCAGTTTACACCAAACCAAAATCAGAGTATCCAAAAACCCAAGCCAGGTCAAAACCAAAACCAAAACCAAAGTATCACACAATCTAAGTCAAGTCAAAACCAGAATAAAAGTGCCAGTACAGGCACACCATGGGTGATCAGGCCATGCTTCCACTCAGATGGAGTGGGGCAAGTTCCAAAGACTAGTCTTACCAAGTTTCAGATGTCCGGACTCCAAGTGCCAGTTCCTTCCCAGTGTTCAGCCAGTGTGTTAATCCTCCTTGGGGGCCTGCTACGTGCTGCTCTGGCGAGGCGTTCCACCCGGGGAATTTCCTACCCGGGAGCGCTCTTTGGATCGCGTCACTCAGGCTGGCCAGAGTCCACCGCAGGGATGCTCCACAGGGCAGGCCTAAGCCACCCAAGGGGCTGCCTTGGCCGTCCGTCAGTTACCTCGCTTCCTGTTCAGGGAACCAAGAAATGTAGCAGGACGAGCCCCAGACAAAACCTTTCAGACACCGAGTTGTAGAAGGAAGGGCTTTATTCAGCTGCGAGCATCGGCAAGCTACTGCCTTAAAATCCAAACTCCCTGAATGCACAATTTCTGTCCCTTTTAAGGTCTCACAACACTAAAGATTTCACATGAAAGTGTCGTGATTGATTTGAGTACGCAGGTGGTACGTGACAGGGGCTGCATGCACTGGTGGTCAGAGAGAAACAGAACAGGGCAGGGAGTGTCACAATGTTCTTCTATACAATGTCTGGAATCTAGGAATAACATCGCGTTCTAAGTCATGGGTTGATTTTTAACTACTGGGTTTAGGCCAGGCAGGCCCAGGCCTGGTTTCGGGCCTGGCGCCAGGCTGCCTGTCTTTGGTTTTACTTCCTTGTTTTTTCTTAAAACAGGTACTGAGTATAAAGCAATATAAAACAATACGAAAGGGTCTCTCTCTTCCCTCAAAGGGAATAGGCTGCTGTGGAGAAAGGTAAATAAATGGTGGAAAGAATTACATGGGGGATTAACTAATCTGTATACCAAATCCCCATGACAGGCAATTTACTTCTATAACAAACCTGCTCATGTAAAAGGTTTTTGGCCGGGCATGGTGGCTCACGCCTGTAATCCCAGCACTTTGGGAGGCTGAGGTGGGTGGATCACTTGAGGTCAGTAGTTTAAGACAAGCCTGGCCAACATGGTGAAACTCCATCTCTACTAAAAATACGAAAATTAGCTGGGCATGGTGGCACGCACCCGTAGTCCCAGCTACTCGGGAGGCTGAGGAAAGGGAATGGCTTGAACCTGGGAGGGGGAGGTTGCAGTGAGTCGAGATCATGCCACTGCACTCCAGGCTGGGTGACAGAGTGAGACTGTGTCTCAAAAAAAAAAAAAAAAAAAAGCAAAAAGTTTTTAAAAGAAAATAGTGGAAAGACAGAGACCCTAGAAGAGGGAGAAGGCCTAAGGCAATTTCTTCTTCCTCTCTTCCCCATCATTCTTTCAGCCACTGTGGAGAGAGGGAGAGTACGGGGTGCAGGGTAGATGAGAGTAGACAATTCTGATTATTTGAGGAGGGTTTGTGGTTTAGGAAGTGAGCTTCTCACCGATTTTATTTATTTATTTTGAGACGGAGTCTCACTCTGTCACCCAGGCTGGAGTGAGATCTCAGCTCACTGCAACCTCCACCTCCCGGGTTCAAGTGATTCTCCTGCCTCAGCCTCACGAGTAGCTGGGACTACAGGCATGCACCACCATGCCTGGCTAATTTTTTGTATTTTTAGTAGAGATGGGGATTTCACCATGTTGGCCAGGCTGGTCTCAAATTTCTGACCTCAGGTGATCTGCCCACCTCGGCCTCCCAGAGTGCTGGGATTACAGGCGTGAGCCCCGCACCTGGCCTAAAAACTTTTATATTAAGTTCAGGGGTATATGAGCAGGTTTGTTATAGAGATAAATTTCCTGTCACAGGGGTTTAGTGTACAGATTAGTTAATTCCCCTTGTAATTTTTTCCATCATTTATTTACCTTTCTCCACAGCAGCCTATTCACCTAACAATAAACTGAGTGCCCATTATGTGCCAAGAACTGGAGATAAGGATATGAGTAAGGAATCTTACTTATCTCCAGTTCTTATAGCATATACTCATTCTGTTTCTCTTTCCTTTGGCCTAGTTTGAGTGCCCAGCAGGTGTTTCAAGTCACTGATTACGTATCTACTCTGCGAAAGTTGTTTGTGCAGCCTGTTTATCCTCTCCTTTGGAACTTCAGTACTCTTTTTTTTTTTTTTGAGACGGAGTCTTGCTCTGTTGCCCAGGCTAGAGTTCAGTGGTGTGATCTCGGCTCACTGCAAGCTCTGCTTCCCGGGTTCATGCCATTCTCCTGCCTCAGCCTCCCGAGTAGCTGGGATTATGGGTGCCTGCCACCACGCCTGGCTAATTTTTTTGTATTTTTAGTAGAGACGGGGTTTCACCATGTTAGCCAGGATGGTCTCGATCTCCTGACCTTGTGATCCGCCTGCCTCAGCCTCCCAAAGTGCTGGGATTACAGGCTTGAGCCACCGTGCCCGGTGTGCCCTGCTAATTTTTTGTATTTTTTTTTTTTGAGATAGAGTCTCGCTCTGTCGCCCAGGCTGGAGTGCAATGGTGTGATCTGGCTCACTGCAATCTCCACCTCTCGGGTTCAAGTGATTCTCCTGCCTCAGCCTCCCAGGTAGCTGGGACTACAGGCATGTGCCACTACGCCCAGCTAATTTCTTGTATTTTTAGTAGAGATGGGGTTTTACTGTGTTAGCCAGGATAGTCTCGATCTCCTGACCTCGTGGTCCACTGGTCCACCTGCCTTGGCCTCCCAAAGTACAGGAATTACAAGCGTGAGTCACCACACCCAGCCAATTTTTTGTATTTTTAATAGAGATGAGGTTGCACCATGTTGGCCAGGCTGGTCTTGAACTCCTGACCTCAGGTGATCCTTCCACCTCGGCCTCCTAAAATGATGAGATTACAGGTGTGAGCCACCACACCTGGCCCAATTATCTTATTTATTATCATTATTATTTTTGAGACGGAGTTTTGTTCTTGTTGCCCAGGCTGGAGTGCAATGGCACAATCTCAGCTCACCGCAACCTCTGCCTCCTGGGTTCAAGTGATTTTTCTGCCTCAGCCTCCTGAGTAGCTGGGATCACAAACCCCTGCCACCACCCTCGGCTAATTTTGTATTTTTGGTAGAGACAGGGTTTCTCCATGTGGGCCAGGCTAGTCTCAAACTCCTGACCTCAGGTGATCCGCCCACCTCGGCCTCCCAAAGTGCTGGGATTACAGGCATGAGCCACAGCCCCCGGCTACTTTTTATTATTAACATTAAAATATTTTTGTTTAATTAATTTATTTATTTTTAAAATTATTATTATTACTTTTTTTACTTTAAGTTCCAGGATACATGTGCAGAATGTGCAGGTTTGTTACATAAGTATACATGTGCCATGGTGATTTCTGCACCTATCAACCTGTCATCCAGGTTTTAAGCCCCGCCTGCATTGGGTATTTGTCCTAATGCTCTCCCTCCCTTTGTCCCCAACCCTATTTTATTTTTTTGAGACAGAGTCTCCCTCTATTGCTCAGGCTGGAGTGCAGTGGTGTGATCTCAGCTCACTGCAACTTCCACCTCCCAGGGTCAAGCGATTTTCCTCTCTCAGCCTCCTGAGTAGCTGGGACTACAGGTACACACCACACACCTGGATGATTTTTGTATTTGCTTGCAGAGACAGGGTTTCGCCAGGCTGGTCTCAAATTCCTGACCTCAAGTGATCCACCCACTTTGGCCTCCCAAAATGCTGGGATTACAGGCGTGAGACACCGTGCCCAGCAAAAATATTTTTATTTTAAAATTTATTAAATTTATTAAAATTTTATTTTAAAATTTCACCATTTACAAAAAGTGAAATGATCAGATCTTTAGCAAATCCATCAATGAATTTTGACAAGTACATGTCACCCACACCCCTGTCAAGATATAGAAAGTTCTCTTTGCCCTCTTTGATTCTGCCCTACCCCTGAGTAGCCATGGATCTGATGACTATCACTATAGAGCAGTTTTTCCTAATTTTTTTTTTTTTTGAGATGGAGTCTCACTCTGCCACCCAGGCTGGAGTGCAATGGCACGATCTCGGCTCACTGCAACCTCTGCCTCCTGGGTTCAAGAGATTCTCCTGCCTCAGCCTCCTGAGTAGCTGGGAGTACAGGTGTGAGCCACCATGACTGGCTAATTTTGTACTTCCAGTAGAGATGGGGTTTCGCTATGTTCACCAGGCTGGTCTCAAACTCCTGACCTCAGGTGATCCACCCGCCTCGGCCTCCCAAAGTGCTGGGATTACAGGTGTGAGCCACTGTGCTGGGCTGCCTGTTTTAAAACTTCCTATAAATGCATGCATAGGTATGGCCTCTTTTGTGTCTGGCTTTTTGTATTTGGCATAATATCTATGTAATCCATCCATGTTGTTGCACCTATCAGTAGTTCATTCTTTCTTTAAAAAAAATTTTTTTTTTAAAATTTTGAGACAGTCTCACTGTCTTAGGCTGCAGTGCAGTGGTGAGATCTCAGGTCACTGCAACCTCCACCTCCCAGGTACAAGCATTTCTTCTGCCTCAGCCCCCTGAGTAGCTGGAACTACAGGTGTGTGCACCACCACGCCTGGCTAATTTTTGTATTTTTAGTACAGATGGGATTTCCCAGCTACTCCAGAGGCTGAGGCAGGAGAATCACTTGAACCCAGAAGGCAGAGGTTGCAGTAAGCCGAGATCGCACCACTGCACTCTAGCCTGGGCGGCAAGAGTGAAACTCTGTCTCAAAAAAAAGCCAGGTGTTGTGGCTCACACCTGTGGTCCCAGCTAGTGGGGAGCCCAAGAGTTCAAGCCTTCAGTGAGTGGTAGTCATACTAGTATACCCCAGCCTGGGTGACAGAGTGAAACCTTGTCTCAGAAAGAAAAAAAAAACAAGATGAAGGAAAGCATATGTAGTTTGCTAAAATTTATGTGGAAAGAGGGAAATTATATGTGTATACACACACACTTATATTTGCTTGCATATGCATAAAACGTCTAAGTTTGTTTGGTTTTTTTGGGACAGAATCTGACTGTCACCCAGGCTGGAGTGCAATGGTGCAATCTCAGCTCACTGCAACCTCCGCCTCCCGGGTTCAAGTGATTCTTCTGCCTCAGCCTCCCAAGTAGCTGGATTACAGCCTTCTGCCACCATGCCCACTAATGTTTTGTATTTTTAGTAGAGACAGGGTTTTGCCATGTTTTCCAGGCTAGTCTCGAACTCCTTACCTCAGGTGATCCGCCCGCCTCGGCCTCCCAAAGTGCTGGAATTACAGGCGTGGGCCACCAAGCCCGAACAAATGTCTTAAGTTTGCTTTCTTTCTTTCTTTAATTAATTAATTTATTTATTTATTTTTCGAGACGGAGTCTTGCTCTTGTCGCCCAGGCTGGAGTGCAATGGCAAGATCTCGGCTCACTGCAACCTCTGCCTCCCGGGTTCAAGTGATTCTCCTGCCTCAGCCTCCCAAGTAGCTGGGATTACAGATGCCCACCACCACACCCGACTAATTTTTGTATTTTTAGTAGAGACGGGGGTTTCATCATGTTGGCCAGGCTGGTCTCGAACTCTTGACCTTGTAATCCACCTGCTTCGGCCTCCCAAAGTGCTGGGATTACAGGCTTGAGCCACTGCACCCGGCCAAGACAGAGACTTTTTGCCTTTTGAACCTTTTGAATTTTTAACCAAGTGAAAACACAAAAGGTAATTCCAAGGAGGAAAAAAACCCAAAAAACTCATAGTGAAAATTTAAGAAAAAAACTCAGCCTGATAGAATTCTCTTACCTTCATTAAGAGAAAACAAAAATTGTAGCTGGGGCCAGGCGCGGTGGCTCACGCCTGTAATCCCAGCACTTTGCGAGGCAGAGGCAAGCGGATCACGAGGTCAGGAGATGGAGACCATCCTGGCTAACACGGTGAAACCCTGTCTCTACTAAAAATACAAAAAATTAGCCAGGTGTGGTGGCGGGCACCTATAGTCCCAGCTACTCAGGAGGCTGAGGCAGGAGAATGGCGTAAACCCGGGAGGCAGAGCTTGCAGTGAGCCAAGATCGTGCCACTGCACTCCAGCCTGGGTGACAGAGCGAGACTCCATCTCAAAAAAAAAAAAAAAATTGTCTAAAAATTATATCACTCCTTTTTTTTTTTTTTTTTTTTGAGATGGAGTCTTGCTGTGTTGGCCAGGCTGGAGTGCAGTGATGCAATCTTGGCTCACTGCAACCTCTGCCTTAAGAGCTCAAGCAATTCTCTTGCCTCCTGAGTAGCAGGGACTACAGTTGCATGCCACCATGCCCAGCTAATTTTTGTATTTCTAGTAGAGATGGGGTTGCACCATGTTGACTAGGCTGGTCTTGAACTCCTGACCTCAAGCGATCCACCGTGGCCCACCCTCAGCCTTTCAAATTTCTGGCATTACAGGCATGAGCCACTGCTCCCAGCCAAACCGCAGTCTTTACAAGGGATTCTTTTTTTTTTTTTTTTTTCTGATGGAGTTTTGCTGTTGTTGCCCAGGCTGGAGTGCAAGGATGCAATCTTGGCTCACTGCAACCTCTGCCTTCCATGTTCAAGTGATTCTCCTGCTTCAGCCTCCCCAGTAGCTGAGATTACTGGTGCATGCTACCACACCCGGCTAATTTTTAGTAGAGATGGGGTTTCACCATGTTGGCCCGGCTGGTCTCGAACTCCTGACCTCAGATGATCCACCCTCCGCGGTCTCCCAAAGTGCTGTGATTACAGGTGTGAGCCACCATGCCTGGCCTTTACAAGGGATTCTAATGGTCTAATGCGACAGTTGTGGCTTCAGTGAGCTCAGGGTGCCCTCTGGTGTCCATGTGGGCCCAAGGATGTGATATTTAGAAAAAACACTTGTAATTCTGGGGGACATGTAATTGAAGCCACTTGCCAACTTTTCAAGATTCTTATTTATTTTTTTTTTTTTGGAGACAGAGTCTCGCTCTGTTGCCCCATCTGGAGTGCAGTGGTGCAATCTTCTCGGTTCACTGCAACCTCCGCCTCCCTGGTTCAAGCGATTCTCTGCCTCAGCCTCTGGAGTAGCTGGGACTACAGGTGCATGCCACCATGCCTGGCTACTTTTTGTATTTTTTGCAGAGACAGGGTTTCACCATGTTGGCCAAGGTGGTCTGGAACTCCTGGCCTCAAGTGATCCATTGGCCTTGGTCTCCCAAAGTGCTGGGATTACAGGTGTGAGCCACCATGCCCGGCCTTTTTATTTTATTTTATTTTTTTTGAAACAGAGTCTCACTTTTTTGCCCAGGCTGGAATGTTGGTGGCCTGATCTCTGCTCACTGTAACCTCCACCTCCTGGGCTCCAGCGATCCTCCCACCTCAGCCTCCCAAGTGGCTGGGATTACAGGCGTGCGCAACCAAAGATTCTCATTCTTAGCCCATTCTGTTATCCCTATGAGTCTGCTAATAGTTGTCATACTAGGTCACCCTGTATTTGGATCAGAAGGTACGGTAGGAGCGCCTAGGGTCATATACCAGGCCCAAACAGCTGAGGGCAGTAGAGTAAGGCCTGCAGGTCAATGCTTCGAGGAGGGGTGGGAAGGATTGAGGGTGTGGGGGCCAGACTGTGTAGTGGCAGGAACCCCAGGTGCTGTGTGAAGCAGAGAGCATGCATCACCCTCTGACCCACATTCAGTTTCTTCCTGGGTGTCTGCAATTCCCGGGACTCCCAAGGAATTCAAATGCTGCAGCCTTGGGCTTGCGAATTCTCCAGGATGGGCAGAGTATGGTCTTATTTATCCTACACTTCTGCCTCATAGTGCTCTCCCAGTCCTCTTCTGTTATTAGAGATCAAACCAGGTTGCTTTAGGGCAGTGATTCTCAAAGTGTAGTCCTGGGACAAACAGCACTGGCATCACCTGGAAACTTGTTAGAAATGCAATTCTCAGCTGGGCGCAGTGGCTCACGCCTGTAATCCCAGCACTTTGGGAGGCTGAGGCGGGCGGATCACCTGAGGTCAGGAGTTCGAGACCAGCCTGGCCAACATGGTGAAACCCTGTCTCTACTAAAAATACAAAAAATTAGCCGAGCGTGGTGGCAGGCGTCTGTAATCCCAGCTACCTGGGAGGCTGAGACAGGAGAATCACTTGAACCCGGGAGGCGGAGGTTGCAGTGAGCCAAGATTGCGCCATCGCACTCCAGCCTGGGGGACAATAGCAAGACTTCGTCTCAAAATAAATAAATAAATAAATAAAAAAGGAAATGCAATTCTCTGGCCTGGCCCACACATATTATATCAGAAACTGCAGTTTAACCTCCCCCCACCCCTGGAGAATTCTGCTTTTCGAATCAGGCCTTTCTCTTTTTCTGTCTGTCTTAAGTCTCAACATTGAGTAGCTGTGATTTTGGAATAGTCAGATGTGGGACACCCTTTCTTGCCAGGAAGCATCTGGCTCCTCAGTCAGCTTAGTCTGATTCTTGGCCTGGCCCAGGGAAAGAAATTCATGTTCTGGATTCTGAGCAATGCTCTCTTGTCCCAGGTGCCTGTTGGGCTCCTACTTACACCTCAAAACATAGCTTGAACATTGTCTCTTTTGTGAACTTTCTGTGACTCCTAGGTCAGAGAAGATGGTCTACTTGTGAGTTTGCAAAGCATGTGTACATGTCCTGCCAACCATTAGTGTTACAATTTCCTGACTGATCTCTGCCTGAGCAAGACTGGGACAACCTTGAGCGCAAGGGGGGTTTGGTTCCTCTTACCTCAGCCCCAGCTCCTTAAACACAATGCCTGGCACGTGGTAGGTATTTGATAAATATTTATTCAATGAAGGAACTGCCTGCAATGGCCTGGTAGACAGGAAAGCGGAATGAAAGCAGGTCAAAAGTGGCTGGGAGAAGATTTTCTAAATCCCGATGTTGGGCACAGGGACCCCTGAAGTTTTCTTTTGGAACCTTCCTATCTGTCTTGTTCTCCTCTCACCAGGCACATCCCTGCCCTCCAGAGCCCACTTAGTCACACACTACCTTTCAGGACTACCTTCCACATCAGCCAGGTGCAAACCCCACAATGACTTCTGCCATGGCTCCCAATGCTTGGCTGCAACTCTGAGGCCAATTTCAGTGAGAGTAAGGAGCTTATCCAATGGAAGTGTCACTAGGAGTGACAATGGCTGGCTTGAAGATTAGGGAAATAGTGTCTACATTTCAAAAGAGAAGACTGCTCCACAAGGAATGTACAGTTTTGATATGTGCAGGGCTCAGGTCTTCAGGGGATAAATAAGTTCCTAAATGCGCCATCAACAGGAATTTCCTTCAGGATAAATAGGAAAAGAACATTTAGGCTTTTTAATTAAAATTTTATTTTACATGTTTTTAAAATTCACAATAGATATTTTATCCTAAAATAAAGTAAAACCGAGAGGTGACAGCGTGCTGGCAGTCCTCACAGCCCTCGCTTGCTCTCCCCGCCTCCTCTGCCTGGGCTCCTACTTTGGCGGCACTTGAGGAGCCCTTCAGCCCACCGCTGCACTGTGGGAGCCCCTTTCTGGGCTGGCCAAGGCCGGAGCCCTCTCCTTCAGCTTGCGGGGAGGTGTGGAGGGAGAGGCGCGAGCGGGAACCGGGGCTGTGTGCCGCGCTTGCCGGCCAGCTGGAGTTCCGGGTGGGCGTGGGCTTGGCGGGCCCCGCACTCGGAGCAGCCGGCCAGCCCTGCTGGCCCCTGGCAATGAGGGACTTAGCACCCGGGCCAGCAGCTGCGGAGGGTGTACTGGGTCCCCCAGCAGTGCCAGCCCACCAGCGCTGCGCTCGATTTCTCACCGAGCCTTAGCTGCCTTCCCGCGGGGCAGGGCTGGGGACCTGCAGCCCGCCATGCCTAAGCCTCCCACCCACTCCAAGGGCTCCTGTGCGGCCCGAGCCTCCTCGACGAGCACCACCCCCTGCTCCACGGCGCCCAGTCCCATCGACCACCCAAGGGCTGAGGAATGCAAGCGCACCGTGCGGGACTGGTAGGCAGCTCCACCTGCAGCCCCGGTGCGGGATCCACTAAGTGAAGCCAGCTGGGCTCCTGAGTCTGGTGGGGACGTGGAGAGTCTTTATGTCTAGCTCAGGGATTGTAAACACACCAATCAGCACCTTGTGCCTAGCTCAGGGTTTGTGAGTGCACCAATCCACACTCTATCTAGCTGCTCTGGTGGGGCCTTGGAGAACCTTTATGTCTAGCTCAGGGATTGTAAATACACCAATCGGCACTCTGTATCTAGCTCAAGGTTTGTAAACACACCAATCAGCACCCTGTGTTTAGCTCAAGGTTTGTGAATGCACCAATCTACACTCTGTATCTAGCTGCTCTGGTGGGGCCTTGGAGAACCTTTGTGTCCATACTGTGTATCTAACTAATCTGATGGGGACTTGGAGAACCTTTGTGTCTAGCTCAGGGATTGCAAACGCACCAATCAGCACCCTGTCAAAACAGACCACTCGGCTCTACCAATCAGCAGGATGTGGGTGGGGCCAGATAAGAGAATAAAAGCAGGCTGCCCGAGCCAGCAGTGGCAACCCAGTCGGGTTCTCTTCCACACTGCTAAAGCTTTGTTCTTTCGCTCTGCAATAAATCTTGCTACTGCTCACTCTTTGGGTCCATAGTGCTTTTATGAGCTGTAACACTCACTGTGAAGGTCTACAGCTTCACTCCTGAAGCCAGCAAGACCAAAAGCCCACCGGGAGAAACAAACAACTCCAGACGTGCCGCCTTAAGAGCTATAACACTGACCGCAAAGCTCTGTAGCTTCACTCCTGAGCCAGCGAGACCACGAACCCACCAGAAGGAAAAAACTCCGGACACGTCCGAACATCAGAAGGAACAAACTCCAGACGCGCCACCTTAAGAGCTGTAACACTCACCGCGAGGGTCCACAGTTTCATTCTTGAAGTCAGTGAGATCAAGAACCCACCAATTCCGGACACAAAACTTGCTTAATTACAGAAAATATGAAAAGTATATAAAAGCAGGGTCTCACTCTGTCGTCCAGGCTGGAGTGCAGTGGTGTGATCACGGCTCACTGCAACCTCAAACTCCTGGTCTCACACGATCCTCCTGCCTCGCCTCCGAAAACTCTAGTTTTACAGATATGAACCATAGCGCTAGCTCTTACTGTCTTTCTTCAACACGTCCTCCCATCCTTCCCTCCTTTCTCCACTCTGCATTTGACCCCGGTGTATTCCAGCCTCCAGGCCAACACACGTGACCACGTCTGCCTGGGGCAGTTGAAGTAAAGGACGCGAGGCGGCGCTGTCACCGCATTCTGTGAACCGCAGCGCTCTGGGTCCCTCCCGCTGGTCTAGTATCATTTCAGTGAACGTCACTCTACATTTTTTGTGTGTGTGTGAGATGGAGTCTCTGTCGCCCAGGCTGGAGTGCAGTGGCGCGATCTCGGCTCCCTGCAAGCTCCGCCTCCCGCGTTCAAGCCATTTTTCTGCCTCAGCCTCCGAGTAGCTGGGACTACAGGCGCCTACCACCACACCCGGCTAATTTTTGTATTTCTAGTAGAGAAGGGGCTTCACCATGTTGGCCAAGCTGGTCTCGAACTCCTGACCTCAAGTGATCCGCCCGCCATGGTCTCCCAAAGTGCCGGGATTACAGGCGTGAGCCACCGCGCTCGGCTGTCACTGCAGACTTTGATGGGGGCCACACTCGGGGTATAAATTAGGATCCTCACTGAAAGGGCGGGACCATGGAGGCTTTTTCTTGGCCCCTTAGTTGTGGGTTTTCCTCTGGGCGGCGAAGCCAGTTTCCATCAGAACTGCCCAGAGGCGGGCGCTGCCTTCCTGGGGTGACGCAGCAGCAGGAAGAGTTTCCGGATCCTGGAATCCGTGGGCGGCCCGTGGGAGGGGCTGAGGCTCATTTCTCTACTCACCTGTCTCCGAATCCGCCGTGGTGTTTCAAGCGAGTCAAGATTCCAGATCGCGCCCCAGGCTGGACTCGGAATTACTGCCCCGCGGGTCTGCATTTTCACAGCGGCAGGTGTGAGTTCCCCGCCGCTGGAGACCAGAAGCCTGAAGGCAGCTCCGCCCACCCCAGCCCACAGCGCCGTTATTCCGTTTCTATATCAGTAAACACTTGTCATTTTCCGTAGACCAGGGCGGGGTGACGGGTGATCCCAGTCCTCGCAGTGAACTCTGGGGCGCAGAATTCAAAACGCTTGCGGTCGCCGAGCGCAGCCCCGCCCTGGGTTATGTAAGTGACAGCGCTGGGCCGTTTCTCTTTTTTTTCCGGACCCCGCAGTGGCGCCTAAAGTCTGCAAGGAGGAGGTCGCCTCTGTGCTGTGAGTCCAGGAATCTAAGGCGAGTGCTGAGGGAGAAAATGTAGTTGATGGGGCAGAGCAGAAGGGGCTGTAGGTGGGTTGGAGGGGGAGGGGAACGGGCAGCCAGGCCTGGACCCTGGGGAGTGACTCACCCGGAGCCGAAGACCATCTCAGCTTTCCCTAGCCCAGAAAGGGTGGGACTGGCTTTATTTCTGCCTGCCATCACCTCAAAATGCCGTGGGACAAATCTTACATATTATTATTGTTATTTATTTATGTATTTTATTTTTTTTGAGACAGTCTTGGTCTGTCACCCAGACTGGAGTGCAGTGGCGCCATCTGGGCTCACTGCAACCCCCACCCCCCCGGGTTCAAGCAATTCTTCCTGCCTCAGCCTCCCAAGTAGCTGCGATTACAGGCACCCCCCACCACGCCCGGCTGATTTTTATATTTTTAGTAGAGACGGGGTTTTGCCATGTTGTCCAGGCTAGTCTCGAACTCCTGACCTTAGGTGATCCACCCGCCTCGGCCTCCCAAAGTGCTGGGATTACAGGTGTAAGCCACCGCGCCTGGCCGGGAAATATCTCTTACAGAAATAAAGGCAGTTGGCTGGGTGTGGTGGCTCACCTGTAATCCTAGCACTTTGGGAGGGTGAGGCAGGCAGATGGTTTGAGCCTAGGAGTTTAAGACCAGCCTGGGCAAAATGGTGAAACCCCTTCTCCACCAGAAATACAAAAAATTAGCCAGGTGAGGTGGCTCATGCCTGTAGTCCCAGCTACTCCGGAAGCTGAGGTGGGAGGATCACCTGAGCCTGGGGAGGTCGCGGCTGCAGTGAGCCATGATTAACCCACAACTGCACTCCGCCTGGGTGACAGAGTGAGGCCCTGTGTCAAAAAATAAGAAAGAAAGAAGAGAGAGAGAGAGGAAGGGAGGGAGGGAGGGAGTTGAGGTTCAGAATATGTAACAGTGTTTATTGCTATACTCCATTCAATGGACTATGGACTATTATGCAGTGATTTAAAAGTAGGAGTTTGGGCTCACACCTGTAATCTCAGCATTTGGGAGGCTGAGGTGGGCGGATCACTTGAGGTCAGGAGTTCGAAACCAGCCTGGTCAACATGGTGAAACCTCGTTTCTACTAAAAATACAAAAATTACCCTGGCATGGTGGCACACACCTGTAATCTCAGTTACTTGGGAGGCTGAGGCAGGAGAATCACTTGAACTTGGGAGATGGAGGTTGCAGTGAGCTGAGATTGCATCACTGCACTCCAGCCTGGGGGACAAGAGCAAAACTCCGTCTCAAAAAAAAAAAAGATATTTCCCACCTTGGATTGCTGGGTCGGGGGGTGGTGGGTATTTTCATTCATAATTGTCAGATTACTTTCATAAACAATGGAAACAGTTTCAGGCTCCTCAGCTTCTCACCTCCAAAATGGGCCTTTTCCTGTATCATTAACAGTCCTCAATGTTCTGGCTAATCAACTGAGCGACTGTTTATAGATTTGCAGGCCATTTGGATTTACAATTAATCTTATTAATGAGGCTGAAATGTGAAGTTTATCTCAGCCTCAAAGAAGTAATTCAGCAAGGATCAGTGGTTTCACTTAACAGTCTGGCTCTGAGGCTGGCTGTGGCCCTGTTATCCATGGTGAGCACCATGGGAATGCAGGCAAGGGCTGTGAGAGGCTTGGAACAAGGCTCCACCCAGGAGAGATCTGGGTGGGCGTTGGTGACCAGTAGAACCTAGGTGTCCTGGGCCAGTGCCCTTGGAGACTAGTCTTCTTTACCCCAGGCATCTTCTTTATTCTGGAATGAGCCTGCCCATCCCTCAGGAAGACTGAAAGGAATTCGGTCAGAAGAATATTATTGACTTTTATCCAGACTTGATTTCAGTAGAGTTCTGGGACCTGCCATATCCTATGGGTGAGCTCTATCCAGGTCCCCTTCCCTGAATTACCTGTCCTCTCCCCACTGACTGGGATGACACCTAATTTTACAACCTGCTGTAGCATCTTTGCTCCCACTGTGACAGTAAACTCCTTGAGACTGGTGGCCATCTTGGGAAGTGATTAGATTCAGAAGAGGTTGAGAGGTTGGGGCCCCCATGATGGGATTAGTGTCCTTTTAAGAAAAAGAAGAGACTGGAGCTCCCACTCTCTTCACCACGTGAGGATATGGCAAGAAGGCAGCTGTCTGCCAGGCAGGAAGAGGGCCCTCACCAGGAACTGAATCTGCTGGTTCCCTAACCTCAGATTTCCAGGGTCCAGAATTGTGAGAAAGAAATGTCTGTTGTTAACCAATCCATCTGTGGTGTTTTGTTATGGCAGCACAAGCTGACTAAACAAGTGCCAAAACCAAACCAGTAACTCCCACTTTCTAGTCTCGGACCCAGTATTAAGGAATTCTGGTCACATAGTTTATTCATCCATTTAACAAATATTTAGTAAGTGCTTCTGTACCAGGCATTTTTCTAGGCCTGGTGATCATTTAATCAAAAGAGACTAACACCTGCTCCCTGATGCTTACAATCTGAAAGACAATAAAGAAAAATATAGTAACAGTAGTGAATTATATGGATGTGTTCCAGCAATTGATTGCTGAGCAAAAAATAATCTTAACGCATACAAACGCCGGGCATGGTGGCTCACGCCTGTAATTCCAGCACTTTGGGAGGCTGAGGTGGGCAGATCACAAGGTCAAGAGTTCGAGACCAGCCTGGCCAGCATGATGAAACCCTGTTTCTACTAAAAATACAAAAATTAGCTGGGCGTGGTGGTAGGTGCCTGTAATCCCAGCTGCTTGGGAGGCTGAGGCAGGAGAATCGCTTGAAACCAGAACGTGGAGGTTGCAGTGAGCCAAGATTGTGCCACTGCACTCCAGCCTGGGTGACAGAGTGAGACTCCATCCCCCCCAAAATATATATATATGTATATATATATTATAAACAACCTTTATATTATCTCTCATTCTGTGGGCTGATTGGGCTCAGCTGGGCAGCTCTTCCGCTCCATACAACATGGGCTGGGCCACCATCATCTGGAGCCCAGCTGGTCCAACACATTCAAGAGGCTCCTGCACAGGGCTGCAGTTGGTGCTGGCTTGTTGGCTGGGAACTCACTGAGGCTGTGAACCAGGTGACTTGGTTTCTCCTCCACCTGCTCCTCCACGTGCCCTGGCTGCTTCTGGCTCTGCACCTGGGGTCCGGGTGTTTCAAGTGGCCAAGTCAGAACCACAAGGCATCTTATGCTGGAACCTCAGAAGTCAGGCAGCATCACGTTCCTCAGTTCTAGTCACCAAAGCAAGTCCCAGATCCAAAAAGGGGGATTAGCATCAGCTCTTGATAGAGGATGGCAAGGTCACATTGCTAAAGAGCATGTGGGATGGGAGATATTGTTGAGGCCATCTTTGGAAAAGGACTTTTATGTTTACAAAGTGATAGGTGATAAAAAGAAAAAATAGGCCAGGTGCGGTGGCTCACGCCTGTAACCCCAGCACTTCGGGAGACCGAGATGGGTGGATCACGAGGTCAAGAGATCGAGACCATCCTGGCCAATATGGTGAAACTCTGTCTCTACTTAAAAATACAAAAATTAGCTGCGTGTGGTGGCGTGCACCTGTAGTCCCAGCTACCCTGGAGGCTGAGGCAGGAGAATCGCTTGAACCCAGGAGGTGAAGGTTGCAGTGAGCCAATATCGCACCACTGCCCTCCAGCCTGGTGACAGAGCAAGACTCCACCTCAAAAAAAAGAAAAAAAGTAAAAAAAAAAAATGCAAAGTTGACAATCAATGCAAAGTAATAGAGGTGGCATTTTAAGTAGGGTGGTCAGGGTGGGCCTCATGAAGGTGCCATTTGAGCAGACTTGAAGAGGAGAGAAACTGAGACACGCAGGTATGTGCAAAGGAAGAACCTTCCAGAATCACCCTCATGTACACCTATGCTCTGTACATACCCAGGGCTCTGCACTGAGGCAGACCCTAAAGCTGCAGTGGGAATGGAGGTGGACACACTTATGGAAAGACTTCTTCAAAGAATGTTGGGGACCCAGGTCTACCCTTCCTGCTGTGGCTCTTACACGACCTGGAGTTGGGGAGGGAAAGGCACTGGCATGTGGAGGAAGACTAGGAGAGGAGGGGAGGCCAAAGCGTGTCCCACCCTCACTCCACCTCTCTGCTCTCTGTCTCCTACATCGAGTGCCTCCTTCCCCAGGGCTTGTGGTCCCTGACAAGGAGGACCCTGAGGGCAACCACACCTTGCCATGCAGAGCACCTGGCTTCTCATCTGCCAAGCTCACTCTGACCCGGCTGCAGGAAGGGAAGGAGCCAACCCCGGACTCAAGACTCAAGGGGACCAGAACCAGGGAGATGAGACATACCAGGGCTGGGCAGCTGTGGGGGTCCTTCCAGAGAGGAGCTGAGATACGCCTACCTGGAGGGGCCCCTGGGCCTGGAGGGGCTCCTCAGTGTGACTGGGTGAAGTGTTTTCAGAGGACCAGGGTTGAGGTTGGGGGCATCTCATCCAGACCCTGCCGGCATCTGCCCCAGAACCCAAGGGCCCCTCCTTCCTCCCTCCTCAATGGAAATGCTGGAGATGTCCTCAGTCACCCTCTGAGCACTCACACATCACCCCTTATTTGGAAATTTTTCTCACTCTAACCTTCCTTCCTGCCGCACCTTCTGCCCCATCCCCAGGCTCTGGCCTCTCTCTCTCCTCTTCTACCCTTTAGCAGGTAATGACTCAGTTCCCACTGAGGAGCCAGCTGTAGGTGAGAGTTTGGGCTCTCGGTGAGGTTGGGAGAAGGAAAAGGCTTATGGGCCAGGGGGTGGGAGGGAGAATGGGCACAGCCAGAGCAGAGTGGAAGGGTGGGGGGAGGCGATAAAGACAGATGTTTCCGTATTACCATTTTTCTTTCATGGTCCGAGGGAGCTGCCCTTCCCCCAAGCCCAGGAAAGTGAAAAGAGAAGCAGGAACAGTGAAATACTCCACAGGAAAGAAAAATCTTAGTGATCCCTCCTGCTGTCTCTTTCCTTTTGCCTATTCTGGCAAATTTTGTAAGTGAAATTTGTTACCAAGATGTGAAAATCTTATAAGAAAGTCTCTAAATATTTGAGAATAAAATTATCAATGTCTCAGCTCTGCAGGCTGAAAAAACGGAGGCTTTACAAAATAAAATCATGCTTGGAAAACTTCTCCTCTGAGGGATGTCAAAGGCTGCACTGAATAAGCTCTAAGGTGGTGCTGAAATGAGTCATTTATTTGCCTGTGTAAGCTCAGGCAGGTGTTGGAATTGAGGAAGTATAGGTAATGAAAAAAGTAACCATGTCCTCGGGACATAGCGACTGGTGATGACCACACAATCAACACAATAAACTCTAGCATTCACATTGTAGTCCAGCTCATTCAAGCAAAGCTATCTCCAATAGGGAGTTTACCCTGTACAGAACACGTGCATTTCCACCTGTTCTCAGACTGACCCTTTGCTCATCACAATAGTGAAAAAAAACACAGCCCTGGGTGGAGATTTAAGATGCTAATGAGTCATGAGATGTATGAACAAGCATGTACAGCTACTGCACACGTGCACCCAGAAGACCGCCCAGAACATGCTTGCTAGTAACACCTCTTCCCACCCACCTCCTGTGAATAATCATGTAAGACTCCCATAAAGGGAGTTTCTCCAGCAGTGATCAATGCTGTCTCATCCTTAGGAGCAGCCCACCCTGAATCCTCTCAGGGTGTACAGTTTATTTTGCACTTAACTTTCAAAATAATATTTTTCCTTTGTAATAAATTGCTTTGTACTTCATCTCCTTTGCTGCGTGTTTCTTGTTTAAATTCTTTTAAATGAAGAAGTCAAGAACCAAGGTATTACAACAGCCGTCAACATTTCCGGTGCCATGACTCAGAGGTTTGTCTGCTTCGTTGGTTTCAGTTTCCCTTCACTACTGGTGAGTACTATGGCAGCCAGAGACCCCTGATTGACTGTCACTGCTTTCCCCAGATCTATTCTATTAAGGTTTTGGGGGAGGACCTTTTAACTCACTCACATTCTTTGAGCAACTAATTGTGATTGCTTTCCATTTGGCTGCTGCTTTTACAGTGTTTACAATTACCTTATTTGGATGGAACGCCCTGATTATTCAGCCTTGGGACTTTTGCTGCTTCTGTTTCACTTTTTGTTTTGCTGTTCCTCCCAGGACTGCACCTGATCTGTACTTACTGGCTATTGTAACTTGTTTTTTTTTTTTTTTTTTTTTTTGAGACAAGAGTCTCACTCTGTCACCCAGACTGGAGTGCAGTGGCTCTATCTCGGCTCACTGCAACCTCCACCTCCTGGGCTCAAGCGATTCTCCTGCCTCAGCCTCCCAAGTAGCTGGGATTACAGGCGTGCACCATCACGCCAGGCTAATTTTTGTATTTTTAATAGAGTCGGGGGTCTCACCATACTGGCTCAGCTGGTCTCGAACTCCTGACCTTATGATCAGCCCACCTTGGCCTCCCAAAGTGCTGGGATTACAGACATGAGCCACCGCGCCCAGCACTTGTTTGTTAATCAAGTAATCTCTTCAAAGATTTTTGTTCACCTTGAGGGACACATTAGATCTACTTTTGCCAACAGTCCCCATTCCTCCAGGCTCTGTGTGTTCTGAGACTCCTCTGAGTCTCAGAGGAGTGTGTTCTGAACGTCTCCTCTGAGAACAGGAGACGTTCCAAGAGGCCATCCATGTTGAGTGCAGGATGTGTGGCCACATGGATGTGTAGTCATGGGGACTATAACCAGGCATTCCAAGCATGATGACTGGACATTAAAAATGGCAGATCAGTGAAATAAGGAAGGGCTTGTTGGTGAGACATCCAGGCTCCCCGGCTGGCAGCAGAGATCACTTCAGTTCAGCTTGGAGACGTCCAGCACCAGTGAGACCTAGAATGGTGCATGGCAAATGCCCATGTCCTCCTAGGGCCTCAGTTTCATGGGGATTCAAGGGAACACCCTGGACTCCATCGTCCAGCTTAGCTCACAGGGATGCCGATGACCTCCTGGATTTTGGTACATGTTTCTGTGGTTGCAGGATTCTCTTGTTACCTAGAAAGCCACCTCCTCTACTGTCACTGAAACACCTCTAGGGTATATACTAAACATTGGAATATTTTGAAACTGTATAAATTAAAAGATAATAGGTGGGTGCGATGGCTTACACCTGTAATCTCAGCACTTTGCGAGGCCGAGGTGGGCAGATCACCTGAGGTTGGGATTTTGAGACCAGCCTGACCAACATGGAGAAACCCCATCTCTACTAAAAATACAAAATTAGCTGGGCATGGCGGCACATTCCTGTAATCCCAGCTACTCGGGAGGCTGAGGCAGGAGAATTGCTTGAACCAGGAGGCGGAGGTTGCAGTAAGCCGAGATTATGCCATTGCACTCCAGCCTGGGCAACAAGAGCAAAACTCCGTCTCAAAAAAAAATTTTTTTTTAAATAAATATAATAAACAGTTGCCAAAGAATAAAACTATTGATACAATCCTCACCACTTTAAGGCTTAAGGTTTTCTTTTCCATCACTGAGTCTCTCCCTTTCCTCTCATTCTTCCACTTACAAATCTCCAAAACAATTCTCACGCACTGTGACTTTGCTCCCTTCAGCTGATTTATCAGTTCATCCTGATAGCCTGATAGGTGACAAGCAGAGGTGAGGACTTCAAAGTTCACACCAAGTAGATCTAGTTCACTGTGGCCCTCCTTGACAGGAGGTTTGTGAAGCTGGCAGGGCTTCCGTCCAGGCTGTGCACTGTCTGGGAATCCTCATTTGCAATGTCTGGAGATCTTCATTTTTCTTACTGCTAACAATCATCTTGTTATGTTTGCACTTCTTTGCATCTCACCCCTTTTGAATTCTGTCCTTCCATGAAAATTTATTGTCCTTTTTGATCCATCTGTATTCACAGACTTTCATTTGCTTTCTTTTTCTCTCTAACCCGTAAGACTGATAAAAATTGTCCTAAAGGTTCTTTCTTTCTGCTTTGTGTGTCAGGGCTCCTCTGCCTTTGGTGAGAGCAAAGAGAGTTTTATCTTTACCGGAAGAAAACTTTTTTTTTTTTTTTTTTTGAGACAAAATCTCACTCTGTCACCCAGGCTGGAGTGCAGTGGCCCGATCTCAGCTCACTGCAACCTCCACCTCCCTGGTTTGAGCAATTCCCCTGCCTCAGCCTCCCGAGTAGCTGGGACTACAGGTGTGTGCCACCACGCCTGGCTAATTTTTTTGTATTTTTAGTAGAGATGGGGTTTCACCATATTGGCCAGACTGCTCTGGAACTCCTGACCTCAGGCAATCTGCCTGCCTCAGCCTCCCAAAATGCTGTGATTACAGGTGTGAGCCACAGTGCCCAGCCCTGGAAGAAAACTAATTGCTGGGTGAAATATATTTTCTACCAAATTCCCCTTACGAGACCTAGAAAGCCTAATGAACATAGCTACTTACATGTCCTAAGCTGTTATTTTAAGGCCAAAATTAAAACATTAAGGGCACATATAAGGTTGGCCATTACTAACCTGAAAAAAAAGATAAATAAATTTCCATGATTAGGTCTTTTCAACACTGCATGGTCCCAAACAATACTGTTTTACAATTAGAGTTTTTGTTGTTGTTGCTGTTTTTAAATAAAAACAAAGGAAGTTTGGGTGCAGTGGCTCATGCCTGTAATCCCAGCACTTTGGGAGGCCAAGGCGGGCAGATCACGAGGTCAGGAATTTGAGACCAGCCTGGCCAATATGGTGAAACCCCGTCTCTACTAAAAATACAAAAATTAGCTGGGCATGGTGGCACGTGCCTGTACTCCCAGCTACTCGGGAGGCTGAGGCAGGAGAATCACTTGAACCTGGGAGGCAGAGGTTGCAGTGAGACAAGATTCAGCCACTGCACTCTAGCCTGGGTGACAGAGAGAGACGCCATCTCAAAAAAAAAAAAAAAAAAAAAAAAGAGGATGATCAGGGATTTTCCAAGGGCCCAGGGGAACCTGACATTATTCCCCCTACTAACCAGACAGCTCTATACTAAGACCAGTCCCTTAGAGACTGATACCAAATCTATTATGCTCATGTTATTCAAAAGAATTCGGGAGGCCGGGCGCAGTGGCTCACGCCTGTAATCCCAGCACTTTGGGAGGCCAAGGCAGGTGGATCATGAGGTCAGGAGTTCGAGACCAGCCTGACCAACATGGTGAAACCCCATCTCTACTAAAAATACAAAAATTAGCCAGGCATGGTGGCTTGCACCTGTAATCCCAGCTACTCAGGAAGCTGAGGCAAGATAATCACTTGAATGTGGGAGGCGGAGGTTGCAGTGAGCCGAGATCGCACCACTGCACTCCATCCTGGGTGACAGAGCGAGACTCTGTCTCAAAAAAGAATTTGGGGAAATCTAACATAATTAATGACTCTATAATGAGAAATATACCAGCTGGGTGCAACAGTGGCCCTTTGGGAGGCCAAGGTGGGTGGATCACTTGAGGTTAGGAGTTCGAGACCAGCCTGGCCAACATGGTGAAACCCTGTCTCTACTAAAAATAAAAAAATTAGTCGGGTGTGGTGGCGCAGGCCTGTAATCCCAGCTACTTAGGAGGCTGAGGCAGGAGAATCACTTGAGTCCAGGAGGCGGAGGTTGCAGCGAGCTGAGATCACACCACTGCACTCCTGCCTGGGTGATGAGTGAGACTCTGTCTCAAAAAAAAAAAAAAAAAGAAAGAAAGAAAAATACCTCCTACCAACAACTTTCCTCCCTTACAATCTAGTCCAGGGTTACTCTTCAAACCTCTTAAGCTTCTACTCCTGTAGTCCTTCCTCACTTGACACACAGTCTTCTGCACCCCGTCCTTATCAGCTTGTTCACCAAACACTCCCTAAAGAGCCCAGTCCTGCTGGGACAACTCATAGCAGAGTATCCTATTGCCCCCCTAAAACAAAAAGCAACCTACTCTCACTCTCTATCTGTATCTCCCTCTCTCAGGTAACACACAGAAAAACAACCAAATCCTCTTAGAGACCTACTTCATGAGTCAGTCTGTCCCAGATATGAGGAAAAAGTCACAAAACTAGTCATAAATCCCCAAGTCCCAATAAATGAACTGCTAAACCTAACTTTTGGTGTCTTTAATTACCAAGACAGAGTGGAAAAGGCACATAGAGATCAAAGGGAAGAAAAGAGAGACAAAAGATAGTCCCAATTTTTGGCCTTCACTCACTATGCGAAAACTCCCACCTCCAGGTCATCCTGAGTGGAACCCAAGGGCTATTCCTGCATTTATAAAAAGCCTGGACACTGGAGCTAAGTAAGTAACAAAGGCCTTCAGGCTTGCAAACCCTCTGGAGCCTGTCATCAATGTGACAAAGAAGGGCAATGGAAGAAGGATTGTCTCCAACTCTGAAGGGAGGAGGGACTCCTAATTCCTTATTGTCCCTGGCTAAAGACTAAAGAGACCAAAGGCAAAAAACAGCTCCTATGTGGCAATCAGCCCCAGTCACAGCAATGGAGCCTCGGATGACCCTGGACATGACAGGCAAAAATATCAATATCCTTTTAAAGACAGAGGCTGGCCTGTCAGTTCTCACTGTCTGCCCTGGGCCTCTGTCTACCAAACACGACACTGTCATTGGTGTTAATAGCAAACTCCAGACTGGGATTTTCACTCTACCATGCAGCTGACCAACTTCTGCTGCAGTAAAACTTAGGGGTGTAGGCCTTTGGTGTGTTTGTCAAAAATAAAAAATGATTCCTTTTAAGTCATCACAGAAACTTGAAACAAAGACTCCAAGCTATTCCTATGAAGCACTGGAGGATCTAAGGCTCCTGTCCAAAAACAGCCAAGACCCAAAACATCAGGCAATTAATGTTGCCTCAGCATAAGCTTCTATTCAAGAAAACAACTCACAGTGAAATGTGATGTTTTTATTTTTTTCTTATTTATTTACTGTATTTTAGGCGCTTTTAGTAAAACAACCTTATCTGCTAAAGAAATAATAAACCATACTACTAATTTATAAAAATTAACTCAGTCTTGCTGGCTTTGCATGACTACCAAAATTTAAAAATGTGCAAAACCTGTTTCTCGGGAAGAATGGGCCAACATTCCTATACACCTCCTGGAACAAACTTTGGACCATAATGTGGGAATATCTGACTAAACAAACAATACAAAGAGAGTTCCTTGGACCTGGCCACTGCCAGTTCAAACTTCCATTTTTATCTATGAATAATAGCTTCACTCTGCCAAGGGGAAAATTGCTTTCTTACCTTGCTTTTTACCCAGAGCAATTCCCCTTCTGCCTTTACAGCAACCATGCCAGTTTCACTCCTTTTATAGAAAAACTCCACAAGAGAGTCAGTATATCTAAACCTTTCTCACAGAATCATTTATACACCTCATGATAGAACCCTAAAGGGGGAACCTTATTTCGAAAAGCTTATTAACACCACTCAACTCTACCATCCTCTAGTTAGTCCAGTGACCACCAAATTTCCATTACTTTTACCAACTCGATGCAAAATGCTTTTGCAGCACAAATTTCACCATCACATAGAATTTGTTTGTGTTGACCAGGCGCAGTGGCTCACGCCTGTAATCCCAGCACTTTGGGAGGCTGAGGCGGGTGGATCACGAGGTCAGGAAATTGAGACAATCCTGGCCAACATGGTGAAACCCTGTCTCTACTAAAAATACAAAAATTAGCTAGACATGGTGGCATGTGCCTGTAATCCCAGCTACTCAGGAGGCTGAGGCAGGAGAATCGCTTGAACCAGGGAGTCCGAGGTTGCAGTGAGCTGAGATCGCACTACTGTACTCCAGCCTGGCAACAGAGTGAGACTCTGTCTCAAAAAAAAAAAAATAATAATTTGTTGGTATTTGTGGATCTTCAGCACGTCTACAACTCCCTCCACAATGGAAGGGATGATGTCCCATAGTTTACATTTCCCCTTATCTACCTTTTGCATTGGCTAACAAATCTCTCCCTTTCCCCATGTACCAACATCACAAGATCCACCGCTGAGCAGGATTCCTTGTTCCCTTGGGGTTGGTGCTATCCTCTCTATCTGGACTAGCAGAGCCAGCCACAGAGACAGAGCCTTGGGAACCCAGCATAAATTGTCTCAGGAGACCACAGTGGCCCTCTGACAAACAGCAGAGAGCCTCACTAGACTTCAGCAACAGCTGGACTTCCTGGCAGTCCTACAAAACCGAAGAGCCTTAGACCTTCTCACAGTCGGACAATGAGCAACATGTTTGTAACGAGAAGAAGAATGTTGTTTTTGCATCAATCAAATTACAAATATATATTAATAGCATTTTCTTGGAACAAGAAAATCATTACCCAGGCAGACAAAATTGAATATTTAGGAGCGTCCATGGGAACTTGGAAGCAATGGCTGTTTTCTGCCTTGCTCCCTTTAACAATGCCAGTCATTACCATATGTTTAGCTCTAACTTTTGGTCCAACTTTGTTTAAAATGCTGATTTCCCAGCCTAGCCAACATGTTGAAACCCTGTCTCTACTAAAAATACAAAAAATTAGCCAGGTGTGGTGGCAGGCATTTGTAATCTCAGCTACTTGGGAGGCTGAAGCAGGAGAATTACTTGAACCTGGGAGGCAGAGGTTGCAGTGAGCTGAGAGCTGAGATCACTCCATTGCACTCCAGCCTGGGCGTCAGAGCCAGACTGTCTCAAAAAAAAAAAAAAATTGCTGATTTCTTGCTTTGTCACCTACAGCAAATCCCGGTTCATGTGATGGTTTTGCAAGGCTTCCAACCTTTGGCTGCTAATGAGCTATCTCACATCTTGCCCACCAGTCCCCTGAAAGACATGGCTTACACACTGTTAGACTAGGCAGGAAAAGACTTCAGGGCCCAGGTTAGGCAAGGACAATGCCGCACTCAGCAGGAAGCAGCTCTGGAAGAAATGACCTAGCCTCTCATCCTCCCGTATGATTATGGGTCCTAAGATCTTTTAGGGAGGAATTGAGGCAGGATAGGGAGTCAAGGAAGTAACTGTGTCCTTGGGATGCAGCAACAGTGATAACCATACAGTCAACACAATAAGCTCCAGCATTCACACTGTAGACCAGCTCATTCAAGCAAAGCTATCTCCAGTAGGGAATTTACCCTGTAGAGAGCATGCGCATTTTGATTTTACCTACCGTCAAACTGACCCTTAGCTCATTACAATAGTAAGAAACACACCCCTGGGTGGAGATTTAAGATGCTTATGAGACATGAGATGCATGAACAAGCATGTATAGCTACTGCACATGTGCATCCAGAGGACCACCCACCCAGAGGACCACCCAGAACATGCTGACTAGTAACACCTCTTCCCACCTCCTTATGAATAATCATGTAAGACCCCCATAAAGGGAGTTTCTGCAGCAATAATCAATGCTGTCTCATCCTTAGGAGCAGTCCACCCTGAATCCTCTCTCTCAGGGCATACTATCTATTCTGCACTTAACTTTCAAAATATCATTTTTCCTTTGCAATAAATTGCTCTGTACTGCATCTCCTTTGCTGTGTGTCTCTTGTTTACATTCTTTTAAATGAAGAAGACAAAGACAGAGGTATCACAGATGTCATCAACAGAACCTCTATGTCCTCCTTAGGAAAGTGAAATGAGCACCCAATGCCCAGATTTTGGTTATAATACATCAATCTCCAATAGAAGGAACCAGGGCTCCTTAGAAAAATAGCTGATTCTAGGGGTGAAGTAGGAAAAATACAAGATAAGCCTGGAACATCTTGAAATGCTACAAAAGAACTGGGCATGGTGGCTCACGCCTGTAATCCCAGCACTTTGGGAGGCTGAGGCAGGCGAATCACAAGGTCAGGAATTCGAGACCAGCCTGGTCAACATGGTGAAACCCCATCTCTACTAAAAATCCAAAAAATTAGCCAGGCGTAGTGGTGGGCACCTGTAATCTCAGCTACTCGGGAGGCTGAGGCAGGAGAATAGCTTGAACCTGGGATGCAAGACCAGGAAGACTCAATATTGTTAATATGTCATTTCTTCCCAACCTGATCTATAGAATCAATGCAATCCCAGTCAAAACCCCAGGACGTTATTTTGTGTATACTCACAAGCTGATTTAAAAATTTATATGGAGAGGCCGGGCACAGTGGCTCATGTCTGTAATCCCAGCACTTTGGGAGGCCGAGGGGGGCAGATGACCTGAGGTCAGGAGTTCAAGACCAGCCTCGCCAACATGGTGAAACCCCGTCTCTACTAAAAATACAAAAATTAGCTGGGTGTGGTGGCGGGTGCCTGTAATCCCAGCTACTTGGGAGGCTGAGGCAGGAGAATCGCTTGAACCCAGGAGGTGGAGGTTGCAGTGAGCTGAGATTGCACTCCAGCCTGGGCAACAGGAGCGAAACTCTGTCTCAAAAAAAACAAAAAAGGTTTATATGGAGAGGCAAAAGGCCTAGCCAGCACAATATAGGAGGAAAACAAAGTCAAAGTACTGCCACACCTGACTTCAAGACTTTCTATAAAACTGCAGTAATCCAGACAGATAATTGGTATAGTCATTGCTGGAAGGAGTATGAAGGTTCCTCAAAAAATTAAAATATAGAACTACCATATGATCCAGCAATCCTACCACTGAATATATATTCAAAGGATATAAAATCTGTGTGTCAAAGAGATGTCTGCCCTTCCATGTTCATTGCAGCATTATTCTTTCTTCTTTCTTTAGAGGTAGGGTGTCACTGCATTGCCCAGCTTGGTCTCAGAATCCTGGCCTTAAGTGGTCATCTTGCCTCAGCCTCCTGAGTAGCTGGATTCCATGTGCGAGCCACCACACCTGGCTGCAGTGTTATTCTCAAGAGCCAAGATATGGAATCAACCTAAGTATCCATTAATGGATGAATGTATAAAGAAAATGTGGTATATATACACAGTGGGATACTATTCAGTCAACAACATGAATGAACCTAGAAGACATTATGTTAAGTGAAATAAGCCAGGCGCAAAAAGACAAACATGATCTCACATATATGTGGAATGTAAAAAAAGCCAAACTCATATACATGGTGAGTAAACCGGTAGTTGTCAGAGGCTGGGAGGTGGGAGGATTGGGGAGGGGTAAGCAAATGACACAAAATTTCTTTTCTTTCTTTCTTTTTTTTTTTTTTAAAGACAGAGTCTCGGCTGGGCGCAGTGGCTCAAGCCTGTAATCCTAGCACTTTGGGAGGCCGAGGCAGGCAAATTGCCTGAGCTCAGGAGTTAGAGACTAGCCTGGGCAACATGGTGAAACCCTGTCTCTACTAAAATACAAAAGAAATTAGCCGGGTGTCGTGGCATGCGCCTGTAGTCCCAGCTACTCGGGAGGCTGAGACAGGAGAATTGCTTGAACCCGGGAGGTAGAAGTTGCAGTGAGCTGAGATTGCACCACTGAACCACTGAACTCCAGCCTGGGCAACAGAGAGAGACTCTACCAAAAAAAAAAAAAAAAAAAAAAGACAAGAGTCTCTCTCTGTCACCCAGTCTGGAGTGCAGTGGCATGATCTTGGCTCATTGCAGTCTCTGAATCACTCGGGTTCAAGTGATTCTTGTGCCTCAACCTCCCAAGTAGCTGGGACTATATGCATGTGACACCACATCCAGCTAATTTTTGTATTTTTAGTTTCACCATGTTGACCAGTCTGGTCTCGAACTCCTGACCTCAAGTGATCCACCCGCCTCGGCCTCCCAAAGTGCTGGGATTACAGGCATGAGCCACCATGCCCAACCAACACAAAATTTCAATTAGATAGGAAGAATAAGTTTAAGAGATCTATTGTACTTTATGGTGATTAAACTTAGTAACCACATATTGTATATTTCAAAATTATAAGATAAATTATTTGAAGCATTATTACCACAAAAAGTATGTGAGGTAATGTATATGTTAATGGCTTGCTTTAGCCATTTTACAATGTATACGTATATGAAAACATGATGCTATACACCCAAATATAACTTTTATTTGTCAACCAAAATAATTTAATTTAAAAAAGACAGTGTTGTATTGGCAAAAGAATAGACAAATAGATCAATGAAACAGAATAGAGAACCAAGAAATAGACCCACGTAAATACAGATAAAGGAGCAAAGACAATACAGTGGAGAAAAGACTGTCTTTTCAATAAATGGCACTGGAAAAACTGGACATCCACATACAAGAAAAGTGAAATGAAAAGAGCTCTCTTGAAAGGTTGTTGTGAAGGTCATCTGTGACAGGAACAAAAAGTGCCCAGCAGGGTCTCTGACAGCAAGCTCCTACATTAATCTAATGGCTGGACTTCAATAGCCTTAGCCCCGTCTCCATAAAACTTTGCTATGAAGGCTACAATGATTCCTGTCAGTCATGCAGTCCTACTAACCTGCTGGGTAGGATACAATATCGAAGGGGCCAGTATACTGCCCTCAGGGGGCTCTGTGGCCTCTTGACCTTGTGGATGATGCTGACCATAATGTTCTGCTTGTCCCTGGCTGAAGACAGGCCCCTCCAGCAGAGACCAGGCATGAATGCACATCTGAGTAAGACTCTATTATGACTCAAGAATAACAAACATAAATAAATAAACATGATAACATAACAAACTAGGTTTCATTTTCTGCTGCTGTAACAGAATACCATAGACTGGGCAATTTATTAAAATATGTATTTCTTACAGTTCTGGAGGCTGGGAAGTCCAAGAGCATGGTATCAGCATCTTGTGGGGGCCTTCCTGTAGTGTCATCCCATGGTGAAAGGAGGTAGGGCAAAGGGGCCAAACATACTTTTTATCAGGAGCCCACTCCCACAATAATGACATTAATCTATTCAACCTAATCAACTCTTAAAGGTCTCCCCTCTTAATACTATCAGAATAGCAATTAAATGTCAACATGAGTTTTGGGGGGTCATTCAAACTGTCAGAGGCATGTGAACCAGAGCAACTCCATCTTGAATGGGGCTGAGTAAAATAAGGCTGAACCCTACTGGGCCACATTCCCAGATGGTTAAGGCATTCTAAGTCATAGGATGAGACAGAAG
Source organism: Homo sapiens (assembly GCF_000001405.40). NCBI lineage: Eukaryota > Metazoa > Chordata > Mammalia > Primates > Hominidae > Homo > Homo sapiens. The sequence goes on from NT_167249.2 coordinate 2,518,642, forward strand.
GTCAGCACAAGATACAGGTCCTAAAGACCTTGCTGATAAAATGGGTTGCAGTAAAGAAGCTAGCCAAAACCCACCAAAACCAAGATGGTGATGAGAGTGACCTCTGGTCGTCCTCACTGCTACACTCTCACCAGCACCATGACAGTTTACAAATGCTGTGGCAACGACAGGAAGTTACTCTATATGGTCTAAAAAGGGAAGGCATAAATAACCCACCCCTTGTTTAGCATATCATCAAGAAATAACCATAAAGATGGGCAACCAGCAGCCCTCAGGGGTGCTCTGTTGATGGAGTAGCCATTCTTTTGTTCTTTTACTTTTCTAATAAACTTGGTTTACTTTACTCTATGGACTTGCCCTGAATTCTTCCTTGTGCAAGATCCAAGAGCCCTCTCTTGGGGTCTGAATCAAGACTCCTTTCCTATAACAAAACCTTAGCATTAGGTAATCTGTGGTTTACTTTTTTTTTTTTTTTTTTGAGACAGAGTTTCTACTCTTGTTGCCCAGGCTAGAGTGCAATGGCACGATCTTGGCTCAACGCAACCTCCACCTCCAGGGTTCAAGCGATTCTCCAGCCTCAGCTTACCGAGTAGCTGGGATTACAGGCATGTGCCACCATGCCTGGCTAATTTTGTATTTTTGGTAGAGATGGGGTTTCTCCATGTTGGTCAGGCTGGTCCCAACCTCAGGTGATCCTCCTGCCTTGGCTTCCCAAAGTGCTGGGATTACAGGAGTCAGCCACCGAGCCTGGCCTGGTTTATGTATATTTATCTTTATTCCTACATTTCCATGATTATGAGATTCACAGTTCATCCAATAGACTTGAACTGACCCAATGCCCAGCACTTTCTTAAGTTCTTACAGATGAACAAAGCTAATATTCACAGATTCTATTTATTTATGGCTTAGGACTACCTACTGTAAATTACTGGGGGCCAGTCCATTTTGGAGTTCATAACCTAAAGCAGAAACTCAGGTGGCTAATATGTTACTTTCATGAAGGATTGTTGTGAGTGTATCATTTCAATTGTCTTGCAGAAGCCTCATTTGTTCTGTTAGATACAGTAAGTTCCTCTTCAAAGGTTCAGCTTCTTCAACTTCCTTGTTCTTTGTTTTCTATTTCTAAAACCCAACTTCCTTGTACTCTCTTGTTCCTAGTTACCCGCTCTGTAAACACCAACTCCCGCCAGTTCCAATCTGTAACTTGCAGAGGGCTCTTCCTGCCTTTGCCATGCCCTGACATGTTTTGCACAGTAAAGGATGGCCTCTCTCTTCTCGCTGAAACAGCCCTTCCCGCCCTACTTACTCACACTCCTGCTCCATTTGAAATAGCCAATTGGGATCAGCTTAGATTGTGCAGTCTGACTTCAGCAAATGGGGACAGGACACAGTAGCAGGGGCTGATTGCGTTAGGGATAAAACCCGCTTCTGTCCATTGTTCGGTGTGCTCTCACAGCAGCCAGAAGTGCAAGCAGCACCCTTCTGCAGAAGTAAACTTGCCTTGCTGAGAAATCCTTTTGTTTGAGTGCTTGTCTTCTTTGCGACTCCAAGCTCTTGTTTTTTTTTTTTTTTCTAAATAGCTGCTATCTTTTTGTTTTTGTTTTTGTTTTTGTTTTTTTTGAGATGGGGTCTCACCTTGTTGCCCAGGCTGGAGTGCAATGGTGTGATCTCAGCTCATTGCAACCTTGGCCTCCTGGGTTCAAGTGATTCTCCTGCCTCAGTCTCCCGAGTAGCTGGGATTACAGGTGTATGCCACCATACCTGGCTAATTTTTTGTATCTTTAGTACAGATGGGGTTTCTCCATGTTGGCCAGGCTGGTCTTGAACTCCTGACCTCATGATCTGCCTGCCTTGGCCTCCCAAAGTGCTGCGATTACAGGCATGAGCCAATGTGCCCAGCCTCTTTTTTTTTTTTTTTTTTTTTTTGAGACGGAGTTTCACTCTGTTGTCCAGGCTGGAGTGCAGTGGTGTGATCTTGGCTCACTGCAACCTCTGCCTCCTGCCTCAGCCTCCCGAGTAGCTGGGATGACAGGTGCCTGCCACCATGCCCGGCCAATTTTTGTATTTTTAGTAAAGACAGGGTTTTGCCATGTTGGCAAGGCTGGTCTCCTGACCTCAGGTGATTCACCCACCTCGGCCTCCCAAAGTGCTAGGATTACAGGCATGAGCCACTGCACCTGGCCCCTTGTTTTTAATTTACAAATGTAATTAATTTAGCTTTGTAAACCAAAAAGTGACTGAGGCAGATCTCAATCAATTCGGTGTTCATTTTGCCAAGGTTGAAAATATGCTGGGGGAAAAGAAACATAAGCCACAATAGGACCTGTGACCTGTGCTTTTTCCAAGGAGGATTTTGGGACCTTCAATATTTAAAGGAGAAAGGGCAAGCAGGAGAGGAAAGAAAAAAAAAGGAAGGACAGGTAGGCAATGATGCGAGTGGTTACATACTTGTGAGGCTGTGATTAGTCCTTAGTGAATCTACATTTTACATGTGAAAAGAAGGGAGGGAGGAAGAAGTCAGTTATGCATTCACATCATGTTCAGTAAATCTATATTTTACATAAGCTAAAGTAAGCATGTAAAATTACAGTTATATGTTTGGGAACAAAAGGAAGGCAAATTTTGCATGACTCAGTTTCCAAGCTTAACTTTCTTGCATAGCAGTTTGGGGTCCTGAGATTCTATTTTCTTTTCACATTTCTCCCTTGTTATTCAAAATCTTTCAGAGAAAGCATGGTAGAAGAAAATGGGTGTCTGCTCATGGGTTTAGTCTAACCTCTTCTGCTAGAATGATTTATTCCTGGAAGATGAGATCCCATGTTGCTAGGAAGGCTTATTCTTAGGGGCTTGTAAAGTCTCTTGTCCCATGGAGAAAAATAGAGGGAGGAAGAGAGAAAGAAAAAAGGGAAAGAGAGAAAGAAAAAAGGGAAAAAGAGAAACAAAAGGGAGGGACCAAGACCAGATTATAGAAACAAAGGGAATGCAATCCTGGAAAAGTAATTTAGGATATGCTACCGAGAAGTCCATACTTCAGTAGGTAGGCACAAAGGTGGGGTGTGTGAGGCTCTGATTAGTGCTCAGTGAATCTACATTTTATAGGTGAAAAGAAGGGAGTAGAGAAAAAATCTATTATGCATTTGTCTTGCACTTAGTAAGTCTACATTGTACATAAGAAAAAGTAAGCTTGTGAAAATACAGTTATCTGCAGATGCTACTATTTCTGCTATTACGCTACAAAGTTTAAGTTTTCTAGCTTCAGTTTGCAGGGCTGTAAGAAAAGCACAGTTTTAATTTCTAGTGATTCCAAGTGAGAAAAATGGGAGAAATTTTTCTTTTGAAAATGCTACTTTGGAGACTTATAGCCAGGAAAGAATTCAGGATCTAGTCTGAATAAATTGTAGACAAATAGTGAAAACTGAAAAACAATGGACAAGGCTAGAATCTTATAATGAGTATACTATAATTTTCTTTGAAATAATTTTTCTCTCTCCAGTCCCCTATTTTTACCAAAATCAAAATCATAGTGGGACCAATGTATCTGCAAAATAAGTTTTAGTCTTATTATACTTGGTCTGATTATTTGCATAAAGCGCAGCAAGACTAATTATTGGCCAATAGGCTCTTTTTTTTTTTGAGACAGAGTTTCCACTCTTGTTGCCCATGCTGAGTGCAATGGTGCAATCTCAGCTCACTGCAACCTCTGCCTCCCGGGTTCAAGCGAGTCTCCTGCCTCAACCTCCCGAGTAGCTGGGATTACAGGCATGCGCCACCAAGCCCAGCTAATTTTGTATTTTTAGTCAGGACGGGGTTACTCCATGTTTGTCAAGCTGGTCTCGAACTCCCAACCTCAGGTGATCCATCCGCCTCGGCTTCCCAAAGTTTTGGGATTACAGGCCTGAGCCGCTGTGCATGGCCCTAGGCTCTTTTTGAATTGGTTTTGCTAGAGCTTTTCATAAGGAATCTCAGATTAGAGTTTTTCTTGAGTCCAGCCAAGGATTTATCTGTGCCTGCAGATACTTGTATGAATGAGGTAAATTTCTGTCTTCTCAAGGTCTCAAAATAACGTGTGGTTCCTAGGTCTGTGAGAAAGTGATATTCTTACTTACTACCTGTCAGGAACCCTGTAAAGGAAATGCGTAGACAAAGTATGAGGTCAGTTTTTCCAAGGGTTGTTTTTTTTTTTAATCAGTTCTATAACATCAATCTCAAGTTCTCAAAGCAGTCTGCTTATATCTTAAAATATGGCATTCTAGCCAAAGCCTTGGTAAAATAATCAGTGTCAAAATTATGTCCTGTTAAGAAAGAAAACAGATTTTTATTAAACTCATGCAAATAAGTATATTGCCATAAATCATGAATACTCAGAAATAAGGCCAGGCGTGGTGGCTCATGCCTGTAATCCCAGCACTTTGGGAGGCTGAGGCAGGCAGATCATGAGGTCAGGAGATCGAGACCAGCCTGACCAACATGGTGAAACCCTGTCTCTACTAAAAATACAAAAATTAGCCAGGCGTGGTGGCGGGCGCCTGTAATTCCAGCTACTCAGGAGGCTGAGACAGGAGAATCGCTTGAACCTGGGAGGCAGACATTGCAGTGAGCTGAGATCGCCCCACTGCACTCCAGCCTGGGAGATAGAGCAAGACTCCTTCTCAAAAAACAAACAAACAAACAAAATCTCAGAAATAGTTTCTGAATTCTGGAGAAATCAGGTAGAGAGAAAGAAATATGCCTCAAATTTTGCTTACAAGAGTACGCTTCATTGTGAAAAGCTGTAAATGTTCAAAAGAAAAGTTTTCTTGACTCTGAAAAACAAAGCAAAAAGAATCAGCAATGTTTCCAACAAAAAAAGTTATAAAAGATTATTTTGGCCAGGCGTGGTGGCTCACCTGTAATCCCAGCACTTTGGGAGGCCAAGGCGGGTGGATCAGAAGGTCAGGAGTTTCAGACCAGCTTGGCCAACATGGTGAAACCCCATCTCTACTAAAAATACAAAAAATTAGCTGAGCGTGGTGGTGCACATCTGTAGTCCCAGCTACTTGGGAGGCTGAGGCGGGAGAATCACTTGAACACAGCAGGTGGAGGTTGATGGTGAGCTGAGATCATGCCACTGCACTCCAGCCTGGGCAACAGAGCGAGACTCCATCTCAAAATAAATAAAATAAAATAAAATAAAATAAAATAAAATAAACCCCTCTAACGAGGCAGAATTACTTTTCCTTTAACAAAAGCCCTATTTCCATGCCTTCTTATGTTTCTACCAAAAACCACATTCTACTTTTCTTTGCATGTTGCTTGTAGAATTATTTATCTTATCTCTAGTAATTTAAATTACATCTATGAATTGTAATGTTAACTCTTAGTAACTCTTATTTTTAGTGAAAAAACTAGGAGGTACGCAATTTTAATTAGTACCTCCTGCAGAACGCAATCTCGGCTCACTGCAACCTCTGCCTCCCAGGTTCAAGCGATTCTCCTGCCTCAGTCTCCCAAGTAGCTGGGACTACAGGTGTGTGCCACTACGCCCGGCTACTTTTTTTTATTTTTAGCAGAGATGGAGTTTCACCATGTTACCCAGGACGGTCTCAATCTCCTGACCTTGTGATCCGCCCGCCTTGGCCTTTGAAAGTGCTGGGATTACAGGCGTGAGCCACCATGCCCGGTCTATCATAGGATCTTATAAGGAGATCAACTGCATTTAGATAGGTGCTTTTAATTTGGCCTGTATCTTTTAACTGGACCATTGTACTCAGGGTAGAGCCCACACTGAATTTTCAGTCCCCAGAAAGAGAGTAATGCCATGGGGACCTGGCCATACAATATTTTTAGTGTGTTTTGCTACAAAAACTTTCTCTCAAGGCTGGTGGGCAACCCAGTGCCAATCAGCCCACTCTCTGTGATCAGCCCATTTCCCAGCCATTGTATACGCCAAAGTCAAGTTTTCTCACAATATAAAGTGATTTCTGATCCCATTCAAAGCCAAAATCAGGTCATGCAAGGCAAAGGAACGGAGTTTTTGACCTGAGAGGATTTTGTCCTCTCTTGGATTCCCTCTTGGGATTCCCTGAGGAAAAAACAGCAGTTTCTCACAAAAATGTGTCTGTGGTGCCTTTTGCATTTTTCTTAAGGGATCCCAGGCTATTAGAATTTTATTTAATTTAATTTTTTTCTTATGTGGCACCAAGGTTGGCAAGAGGAAGGAGGGGCTGATAGAAATAAATAAGGGAGGCCGGGCGCAGTGGCTCATGCCTGTAATCCCAGTACTTTGGGGGGCCGAGGTGGGTGGATCACTAGGTCAGGAGTTCGAGATCAGCCTCGCCAATATAGTGAAACCCCGTCTCTACTAAAAATACAAAAATTAGCTGGGTGTGGTGGCAGGCGCCTGTAGTCCCAGCTACTTGGGAGGCTGAGGTGGGAGAATCGCTTGAACCTGGGAGGTGGAGGTTGCAGTGAGCTGAGACCACGCCATTGCACTCCAGCCTGGGTGACAGAGTGAGACTCTGTCTCAAAAAAAAAAAAAAAAAAAAAAAGAAAGAAAGAAATAGGGAAACAGAGGGAGTGCATGTGGCTAGCAGGGGGTTGAAAAAGAGAGACATTTAGTTGACTGAGAAATGTTTACCCAGGGAGAAAAGAGACCTTAAAGCAATATGTACACACTGAAGTCTAAAATATCAGTTTTAATTAAGTCAAATTTTGACTATAGAGCTCTAAAAAAATCCTTTGACATCTCTTATTACCAGATTTTAGCCAGGAGGAACAGTTGATATTCCTGGCTTTTCACCTTCTTTACCAAAAGGTATCCTCCCAAGTGTCTTAACCAAAGTTATGACTATTAGGCCACAAGGTGGGTGGCCCTTAGTTGTTCCCTGATGAGGTGGCAAACCTGAGCCATGGCAGAAGTGTTTAATGTTTTTTTTTTTTTAGTTTTGCTCTGTTGCCCAGGCTGGAGCACAGTGGTGTGATCTCGGCTCACTGCAGCCTCCACCTCTCAGGTTCAAGCGATTCTCCTGCCTCAGCCTCCTGAGTAGCTGGGACTACAGGTGCCCACCACCACACCCGACTAATTTTTGTATTTTTAGTAGAGACAGGGTTTCACCATGATGGCCAGGATGGTCTCAATCTCTTGACCTCGTGATCCGCCCACCTCGGCCTCCCAAAGTGCTGGGATTACAGGCATGAGCCACCGCACCCGGCTGAGAAGTGTTTAATTTTAACTACCAGAAGTGTTTGAAGTGATTTTTTTGCTCTTAATTTAGTCAAGGGAATTTTTGAAGACTAGCCATGACACTACTATGTGTCCTTTTAAGACTTGATGTTTTCATTAATTGTTTAGAATAAGAAATCTCTGAAATCTTTAATAGCCCACAGAGAGAGGCTGGGAAGGTGTTCCTGTTATATAAATGAAACCTCTCAGGTAGTCAAATTTTATCTTTTTTTAACCAGCTGGGGGTTTTACAGGTGCAACCTGACTTTCTGCAGCTGTGGGCTTTCCAGTATAGCTCCTGGGCCAGGGATCTCTATCTGCTCCCCAGAGGCTTGTACCTAAGATACAGAGCTCCCTGGGCTTCTCAGTACAGGTGGACTTAAACTAATGGGCTAGAAACAGAGAAAGGGAGGTAGAATTTCCCACTTACAGCCAGACCCTGCAGCACAGCTTTCCAGAGCCTCAGCCCCCCTGCCCTGGCTGATGCTCCCTCCCTGACTCCCCTCACCAGGGCCCTGGCCCCACCACACAGCTGAGCTGGCCCAAGCCAAAGAGTTGCTGGAGCAGCAGCTGGAGTGGATCAGGCTCTGCTGGAGGGGGTGGGGGGCCCAGGCCCTGATGGTCAAGATCCAGAACCTGAAGAAACAGATAAGGAAGGAGGCACCAAGAGAGCCTGGGAGGAGACACCCAAGCTTCCCACCAGTGCCTGCGGCACCCCTCAGCATTGGAAATACTGTGCACCGCCCCCAGGAACCCCAGGATCAGAAATATCCCAGCTGCTCCCAGGCAACTGGGAAAATGGAAGAGACCACAAAAGGCCAGAAGTTAGCAGTGTGATGGTTAATACTGAGTGTCAACTTGGTTGGATTGAAGGACACAAAGTACTGATCCTGGGCATGTCTGTGAGGGTGTTGCCAAAGGAGATTAACATTTGAGTCAGTGGACTGGGAAAGGCAGACCCACCCTAAATCTGGGTGGGCACCATCTAATCAGCTGCTAGCGTGGCCAGAATATAAAGCAGGGAGAAAAATGTGAAAAGGCTAGACTGGCCTCCCAGCCTACATCTTTCTCCCATACTGGATGCTTCCTGCCCTCGAACATCGAACTCCAAGTTCTTCCGCTTTGGGACTCGGACTGGCTTCCTTGCTCCTCAGCTTGCAGGCGACCTATTGTGGGACCATGTGATCATGCGAGTTAATACTACTTAATAAATCCCCCTTTATATATATATTTATTCTGTTAGTTCTAGAGAACCCTGACTAATACAGGCAGGTAGTGGGGAGCCAGGGCTCTGCAGTCTCAGTCCCATGCCTCCTTTGACTTCACAGCAGTGCACCTCAGCCTTACAGGAATTTACCCTGGATCATGTCCTACAATAACCTCTCCCCAAACACAGTAAGAAGATGTAGCATGCAGATACCACAGACACACATGTGTTCCATTTTTCGTTAGGATTTTTTTTTTTTTTGAGATGGTGTTTCCCTCTTGTTGACCAGGCTGGAGTGCAAAGGTGCGATCTCGGCTCACTGCAACCTCTGCCTCCTGGGTTCAAGCGATTCTTGAGCCTCAGCCTCTCGAGTAGCTGGGATTACAGGCGCTCGTCATCACGCCCAGTTATTTTTGTATTTGTAGTAGATGCTGGGTTTCTCCATATTGGTCAGGCTGGTCTTGAACTTCCGACTTCAGGTGATCCACCCGCCTCGACCTCCCAAAGTGCAGGGATTATATGCGTGAGCCACCGCGCCCAGCCTAGTTAGGATTTTTAAAATTCTGACAATCAGGAATGGGGGTTCAGGAGTGGTGCTGATGCAGAGGAGGGAAGCCATGGGGTGGGGGCTGTTAGGGGTGGAGGCAGTAGTGTCTCCTTCACCCCCACCCTGGGGTCTTCTCCTGAAGGACAGACTGTCACATCCCAGAATTGGTGAGTCCTCTACTGTGTCTGTTCAACTGAAGAGAAAATATGGCACAGTCAGAATAAGGCATGAAAAGGGGAAAGTGAGGCAGGAACACACGGCACACATGCAGACGCTGGTGTACTGTGTGGGTTCAGAGGACGGACGTGGGGGTGAGGGAAGGGATGTAATATGATGAGAGAAGACAGAAACCCCACATAAAGGTCAGGAAAACATCCCAACACAGCATCAAAGGCCAGGGGGCATGAACCAGTCAAGTGTCCATTATGCATCAGATGCCCATGACCTATGTGATGAGATTGAAGAAAAACATACTAAGGTTCAGGGAGGAACTAAGTGTTTCATGAGATCAGCACTCACCGTGGAGGAGACATCTGTCTCATCAGGCAGCTCACTAACACTGACCTCGAAGCGATGCTGCCCATCACACTGGATCCTTGCATGATTCTCATCTGACACAAACGCTGATGGCCAAGCCCTGTTCCAAACCAGCCTGCTCTAGTCACCTGAAAGGAGGCAGAGGGTAGAAACAGAAGACCCAAAGAGGGAAGACACCCAGAGGGAGGGAAGAGGATGTAAGGTGTGAAAAGATAGAAAACATAAGGAATGGGAAGAGTAGGTGTCCTTCTGGGTGTGGGGCTCACCTGTCATTGATAAAGGCAATGTTCATCCACTTGATGTCTATGACGTGGCCCGGTAGGTTGGTAACCATAGAACTGGTCATTGAAAATCTTTTGGGGTCATTCTTGGACATGTGCAGAACAGCAAACAATTTTAGTCACCTGATGTGTTTCCTTGGCTTCCTGTTCAGTTTTCCTTAGGCCTCAGCTGCTGCTATTGCTGCTGGCTGCTCTCCACATTCCCCTAAATTCCAGATGGGTGTGAGGAGGTAAGGGCGGGAAGAAATAGTGGATTGTGGATTGAGGTGCGATTTCCCACCACTGGAGGGGACAGATTCATAAGCTGGCATTGAAGAGGTTCCTGCCCTTTGCACAGTGTGTTTGGTCACCCCAGTGCTCAGGCTGAACCCTGAGAAGAAAGAGGAACTTGACTGCCTGAAGGCCCTTGGGTGGTGTTTAAGACCCCTGGCCACTGTGTCCTGGCTGAATGTATACATGCAGATGGAATCTCTTTCTTTCTTTTTTTTTTTTGAGACGGAGTCTCGCTCTGTCTCCAAGGCTGGAGTGCAGTGGCGCAATCTTGGCTCACTGCAAGCTCCGCCTCCTGGGTTCACGCCATTCTCCTGCCTCAGCCTCCTGAGTAGCTGGGACTACAGGCACCCGCCACCACACCCGGCTAATTTTTTGTATTTTTAGTAGAGACAGGGTTTCACTGTGTTAGAATGGTCTCGATCTCCTGACCTGGCGATCCGCCTGCCTCAGCCTCCCAAAGTGCTGGGATTACAGGCATGATCCATTGCACCCGGCCTCGATATAGAAGTTTTTAAGAGCCAGACGCTTGAACTTGTGGGCATCGGTTTGGGGAAAGAGTCAGTTGGAGTAAAGTTATCTTGAGGCATTAACTTTTTTGCTTCTTAAGGCCATTGGTCTTTTATGCTAGTCTTTCTACAAACATAACATGAGGAAACGCCTAGGCTGCCAGCAATGTTTTCAGCCAGCTGAACAAATAGGTTTTTGGCTAAAGGAGGAGGCTCTGGTAACTTCTGGTTTATATGCTCAAAGAATGACTTAAAGACTCGGAATTGCTCCTGGGCTGACTGCTTGGTTCAAGTCTTCTTTATAATATACAAAGTTGTTTTAGCTTTTTGACCGTAGCTTTGTAATGCCATGGAGTAGCCTATAGTCCGTACAGGTAGATTTGGCCTTAAGATAGTAAGATTTACAGGATTGCAAATGCTTGTCTTACAATCTGGTTTTGCTGGTACTTTGATGAGCAAGATTGGCTTTGGCCTCAGTGATGATCGGTCAGTGAACTGCATTGTGCAGTTCCAGCAAGCTATTGCTAGGGCCTTGGAGGGACAAACAGGGAGTGTACATACAATTTTATACTGGCAGTTTTTATAGTACTTTGTAGGACTAGAGATTGTGAGATAGGTTGGGTTCATGGATGTTAACTGACAAATATCAAAGTATATGGATATAGCCCCCACCCTGGGAAGGAGAGGCTTGGGTTTGACTTATAAGACTTCTTTTTTTTTTTTTCTTGTATGAATCTTAAACTAAGTCCTAGGTAAAGACTTCGGTCATAGCATATATAAGGCTGGCCATTTCTTGGGTCACAAATTGAACAGGTGGTCTGATTATAAGTACAAGTTCTTTTTTTTTTTTTTTGAGACGGAGTCTCGCTCTGTCTCCAAGGCTGGAGTGCAGTGGCGCAATCTTGGCTCACTGCAAGCTCCGCCTCCCGGGTTCACGCCATTCTCCTGCCTCAGCCTCCCGAGTAGCTGGGACTATAGGAGCCCACCACCACGCCCGGCTAATTTTTTTTTTTTTTATTTTTAGTAGAGACGGGGGTTTCACCGTGTTAGCCAGGATGGTCTCGATCTCCTGACCTTGTGATCCACCCGCCTCGGCCTCCCAAAGTGCTGGGATTACAGGCGTGAGCCACCGCGCCCGGCCTTATAAGTATAAGTTCTTAAGCGAGTCTTTGTACACTTATAAGTATGGTACAACAGAGTTCTAGTTATACTGTTCTTTGACTAAGTAGTATGTGTACAGTGGGGACACTTTTCTGTCAGTGTTTCTTCTAGTATGGTTAAGGGGGTAACAACATCAAAACAATGTACAGCATATTTAAATCTAGCAAGGACAAAAGAGGTCTTTATTTGGGGGAGGAGGTTGAGCACAGTGACAGAACAATAGGAAAACAGTTAGTATTACAGGAAAACTACTAGTCTTAAGATTTCTAACTACATTTACTTGCTTGATGAGTCTTTAAGCTTCAGCCGTGCATAGACTAGTCAGCTTCCAGTGTGTGACTAGAGCAAGGCTTGTTGTTTCTTCAAACTTCAGCTGTGCGTAGACTGGTCAGCCTCTGGAGTGACCAGAGCAGGGCTGTCGTCTTCAGCAGCAGCTTGGTCTTGTCTCAGGATCAGCCGGGTTGGATGATCTGGGTGTTGCTGGCTGGTTCACTTGTCCTGAGCTGCCGATTTTAGCCGACTGTGATGGAGTTAAGGCACGATTCTTGCAACTTTAACAGCAGTGGGAGTGGACAAGATTACTCTGTGGGGCTTATCTTACATGGGTCTTAGAGAAGTTGGGTTCTACTTTTTAACTTAAACAAAGCTACTAGGTTTAAAGGGTGTACTGGGTCTGTTAGACTTCTAGGCATTCTTTTATGTACTTAACTATGAACACTTTGCATGGCTGTTTCTAAAGCCTGCATTTGATTTCTTAAGGTTAGTTCTTTTAGTTCTTGGAGATCACTTTTAATTTGACGGTGGCTGATTGAACAAAATCTTATAGGGTAAATACTTAGTTTGTTTGGTGGGGGTGCGCTTGGCTCAGAGGAGGACTATAGGCAAGACTTGATTCTGTCTCAGATGAGTTTCTTGGCAATATTTCTTCAGTAGCTGCTTGAGTGTCTGGTTCATGCATTCTACAGTAAAATAATCTTTTTTTCTCTTTTTTTCCTTCAACTTTGCTCTAGAAAAAAGAAGTGTCCAAGGCCTATTTTTTTAGCCCTAGCTATTCAGACAGTGTTATCTTATAACTGTCCTTGGGTTGGGCACGGTAGCTCACGCCTGTAATCCCAGCACTTTGGGAGGCCGAGGTGGGCAGATCACGAGGTCAGGAGATCGAGACCATCCTGGCTAACATGGTGAAACCCTGTCTCTACTAAAAATACAAAAAATTACCCAGGTGTGGTGGTGGGTGCCTGTAGTCCCAGCTACTCGGGAGGCTGAGGCGGGAGAATGGCGTGAACCTGGGAGGCGGAGCTTGCAGTGAGCCGAGATTGTGTCATGGCACTCCAGCCTGGGTGACAAAGCGAGACACCATCTAAAAAAAAATATATGTATAAAACTGTCCTTGAGGTAAGCTTGCTAAGCAGAAAAAAACTTGTTCTTTTCTTTTTCTTTTTAACTTTTGCCTTGCCACATTCTAAGCCTTAGCTTTAACTTAAAGTAAGTAAATGCAATACTTATTATTATTATTATTATTTTTAAATTTCTGCCTCAGAATGAATAAATTACATGTATTTTTTTTTTTTGAAGCCATGCCTTTGGATTAGGGCAAACTCTAGGATATTTAAGTGAATTCCCTGAGGAATGTGGACTCTGTAAGCAGGTGAGTGCATTATTCTCTGCTTCTCTCTCTCCACAGGGCCGTCGTTCACCCTCCTCCACCTTGTCCCCTGCACTGGGAGGCAACCACAACAGGCACGGCCCATGCTCCTGCACCACCTGGCTTCTGCTTGGGTGTGGATGATAACAGGCACCTGCAGGAGATGGGAGCATGCGGGGAGAAGTAACTCAGGGTTTTCATTTCCCTCACTCCCTCTGGACAGCTCTGTGGTTCCGTAATCATTGCCGTCCTCTACCTACAGCCACAGGCATGTGGGTCTGCCCCTAGTGAAAGCTACAGATTTCCTTGGGTTCTGGAAACTGCTCCCTTCGTTGCTCTTTCAAGCTTCAAGATGAAAACAGTTTCCTGCCAGGAATAATCCCAGGGAGCTTCAGCGCCCTTTGTGGCTTTCTTAGCCCTGCCGGCACCTGTGTAGAAGGTGCCATCTCAGGCCAGCGCGGTGGCTCAAACGTGTAATCTCAGCACCTTGAGAGGCTGAGGCCAGAGGATCACCTGAGGTTGGGAGTTCAAGACCAGCCTGACCAACATGGAGAAACCCTGTCTCTACTAAAAATAAAAAATTAGCTGGGCGTGGTGGCGCATGCCTGTAATCCCAGCTACTCGGGAGGCTGAGGCAGGAGAATTGCTTGAACCCAGGAGGCAGAGGTTGTGGTGAGCCGAGATCACACCATTGCACTCCAGCCTGGGCAACAAGAGTGAAACTCAGTCTCGGGAAAAAAAAAAAGGTGCCATCTCTTTCCTGCCAGGTCCCTGACTGACCACAGGGTGCTCCCACAAAAGGAGAAGTGACAAGAATGTATTTAAGACATTGCACTAACACATCTATTCATGATGTTAATTCAAAAAATTGACTTACTACAATAAAAGGGAAAAATAAGAGTATTCTGGAAACAGAGCAGGAAGGAAGGCAAAGGTGAAAACAATCAATCTGGGGCATCTGAGAAGCCCCAAGTGCAGAGGCTGCCCTGAGTCTTTAGAGGACAAGAAACAGAACACACGACCCAAAAGTGAGAGACAGAGCCTGGCCGGAGCAGGATGATAACGGCTCTCCTACAGAGTACTATTCCTGTAAATCTCTGACGAGAGGGGTGAGATCAACATGTAAAAATACACACACACAAAGTGGAGCTGAGGGCAGGATGGAGAACTGTCATTCTCAGCCCATGACCTCCATGGACTTGGAGAAAGACTCAGCCTGGAGATGTGTGAGGCCTCCGACCTGGAGCAGCACCCGCCCCTAAAGACCAGGCACAAATCCCAGCACACGGAGGGATCCAGACAAATACACAAGAAATGACCACAGCAGGAACTTTATTGAGCACGGAGCAAGGGTGCACACCACTCAGCACCTGCCCCCCCACCTGTCCTTCTCTCCCCACCTGCCTCTGCCCCAGCACAGCAGGTCCTCAGAATCCAAAAAGAGAACCTAACCTGCATGTTCTCTCTCTCTCTTTCTTTTTTTTTTTTTTTTTTTTTTTGAGACAGAGTTTATCTCTTGTTGCCAGGCTGGAGTGCAATGGCGTGATTTCGGCTCACTGCAACCTCCACCTCCTGGTTCAAGCAATTCTCTTGCCTCAGCATCCCGAGTAGCTGGGATTACAGGCAGCTGCCACCACACCCAGCTAATTTGTGTATTTTTAGAGATGGGGTTTTCACCATGTTAGCCAGGCTGGTCTCGAATTCCTGACCTCAGGTGATCTGCCTGTCTTGGCTTCCCAAAGTGCTGGGATTACAGGCGTGAGCCACCACGCCTAGCCTCCATGTTCTCTTAATAGTTTGTAATATCTTATCACAGCTTCAAAGAAAGGATATGAGAATAATAACTCATAGAGCAAGATATCTGTTTAGAGTGAGTGAGTCACAGGGGAGATCTGGGAGGGAAACACTGCAACTCTTTCATTCCCAGAAAAAGAAGGTTGATCCAGGGAAGGGGACACCGGGCCTGGATATTGGGATTATGTGGAAGGGGTTCTGGGACATCAGGGGAATGGGCCCCTCTCCCTGTATCCTTCCTGGGCTATGCTTGGGAGGAGACACAGTTTATCAGCTGTGCAGCTGGGGGAAGAGAAGTCAGGGTCCAGAGACAAGGGGAGCTGAGAACAATCTGTGTCTTGCTGGTCTGCAGAAGGCAGCTCTCAAACTGTAGAGAACAGTTTGGGATGATGAAAATGTTCTAAAATTAGATATGGTGATTTAAAAATCCAAATATGTGAAAAACCATTGAATTGTATACTTTAAATGGGTGAATGATATGTGAATTATATCTTAATAAAGTTTAAGGAAAGAAATATAATGATATGTCATGACAAATCCACTAGAATTTCTAAATTAAAATCACTGACTATTCCAAATGTTGGTGCGAATATGGACCATCAAGAGCTGTCACACACTTTGTCTAGCAGTGTGGCATCATCTCTTTGGGTAGGATATCATATACACACACCAGTAATTCCACTCTTAGGCATATAATTTTGAAAGATATATGCTCATTGTGCCAACATACATGTGCAAGAAGGCTTACAACAGCATTGTTTGTAATTTTTAAAACCTGAAAACAAATAAAATGACCACAAACAAAGAAGGATTAATTTAATGTGTGGAATTCTATGAATAATAAACATGAATGCTCTAGAGACACCTATAACAACTTAGCAAACATACATTTGAGCTAAAATAAGGTCTCATAAGAATACACATAGCACGATTCCATTTGTATCAAAAGATTCAAAATCTATATGAAGTTTGAGATAACCTATATTGTTTTAGAGATGTATGCATGGGAGTAAAGCTTTAAAGAAAGGCGTGAACAGGATTACTATGAAATCAGGATGAGGGTGAACTCTCACGACAGCAAAGGGATTGTTATTGCTATCAGGATTGGTATGGAAACTTCCGTGTGTTTTTTTTCCTGACTTTTGTTTCTTTTTCACATGGATTTTCCCTTTAAAACCATTTGTTAAAATGTAAATATAATTCAGGCACTTCACTTTTGGTTGTAACTTACACTGTAAGACTGCTAAAAAAAAAATAATATTAGCTACTTACGTGTAATTGGAAAAATTAACCTTTATTCACAAAAGAGATGGGCTGCCCCCTACACCACGAATCAGAGAAGAGACCATGAATTGAAATGGGAACTTGGAATTGTCATTATTCCGTAATTATACTCAGGATCCTGTCCATGAAACATTGGAATACCACTGTCCAACCCCCTTCTGCAGTGATGGAGTGTCTATATCTGAGCTATTCATTATGGCACAGATACAGACATTCATATTCTGTGAATTCTGAGTACTTGAAATATATGGCTGGTGCAAATAAGAAACTGGCTTTTAAAATCCATTTAATTTTAATTAATTAAAGTGTAAATAGTGCCATGTGGACAAGGCAGAATTACAGTGCCGAGACCAGCTCAGTCGGGGAGACCCTAACCCAGTGGCGCTAGAGGAATTAAAGACACACACACAGAAATATGGTGTGTGGGGTGGGAAATGAGGAGTCTCACAGCCTTCATTCCAGTAAACAGTCATTGTGACCGGTTGTCCCGCTTTCCTCAGGTTTTCTTCCACCATCTGTGACAGCTTCTTGATCTGTCCCCAGGTGGGTGGCTGTGTTCAACGGGTGTTGCTCGTGACAGTTAGGGTCCTCCTCAGCATCAGTCTCGACATGGCTGCAACCAGGGGGTCCTCGGGATCCTCCTGGAATCTCTTCCTTGGCATCTGGCTCATGATAAGGTTTTAGGTGTCTTGATAGTATCCAAATTGGCTGCTGGTTTTGGCCTGGAGAAACACAAGCATAACCTCTACCCAAGTTATTATTTTACCTATGTCCCAACTTTTTGTTATTGGATCTCTTCACCAAACCAGTTGTTCTGCTCCTGTCTTTGCAGCTGGTTTCTGTAGATGCTGTTCAGCTGCTGATAACATCTGGCCTTTGGGCAGCCTCAAAAAATTTAAAGTTAATAATGCTAGATTCAGTTGTGTATGGGCTGTCTCGTAATCCCTGTTTCTCCCCCTTTTTTGTCATCAGTTGTTCATCTGTATAAATCATAACTGAGCATTTTCAATTAATTGCATGGAATGAACCATGTATAAAGAATCAGAAATCACATTAACAGGCATATCAAAAGCAGTCAGCACCTCAATTACAGCTACAAGCTCTGCTTTCTGAGCTGAAGTATAGGTTGCCTGGAAAACTTTACCTTTTGATCCAGAATAAGAAGCTTTACCATTGCTAGACCCATCTGTGAAATAATGAAAATGCTTAGCAGGCTGCAGATTGTTTACCACAGGAATTGTAAATGCAAACCGTTCACTGTCTTGCTTAGCTAAGGGTATAGTAAAGAAAGAGTCCTTCCTGGCTGTAATGCTCCTATAGCTTGTATAACTGAATTAATGGCTCTTAAATCAGTTAACATTCTCCATTTACCTGATTTTTTCTTAATTACAAAAGCTGGAGAATTCCAAGGGGAAAGTGTTGTAGCTATGTTCTCATTTTCTAATTGTACATTAACGAAGTTCTCTAAAGTCTCCAGTTTCTCTTTACTTAGCAGCCACTGTTCTATCCAAATTGGCTTATCTGTTAACCATTTTAAAGGTATAGGTTCTGGAGGCTTAACAATGACTGCCATCAAAAATGATACCCTAAACCTTGGCGGGAACTTTGTCTCTCCACTTGAAGCATTTTTTTTCAAACCTTGCAAATTTTTTCCTAGTCCCATACCAGGGACATGCCCCATTTCATGCATCATATGTTGACTTTGAGGGCTATATAATTGCTCTGGAAGTAGAACTTGTGCTCCCCATTGTTGTAATAAATCTCTCCCCCATAAATTTATAGATACAGAAGTTATAATTGGTTGAATAGTCCCAGGTTGTCCATCGGGCCCTTCACAATGCAAAATATAATGGCTTTGATATACTTCAGGGGCTTTACCAACTCCAACTGTTTTAAGTTGAGTGTGTTGAACTGGCCACGCAGACGGCCAGTGCTGTAGAGAAATGATTGAAATGTCCGCTCCTGTATCTACCAAATCTTTACATTTCTTTCCCTGAATAGTTATTTCACAGGTAGGACGTTTATCAGTAATTTGATTCACCCAATAAGCTGCTTTGCCTTGTTTATTTGTGCTTCCAAATCCTCCTGTTTGTTTAATTTCACTTTTCCCATTCCCACATACGGCACAATCAGGAGCTGTGCTATACACTCTCCTGGCTCTGCTTTCCAGGGAACAGAAGTAGATATAACAATTTGAATTTCCCCATTGTAATCTGAATCAATGACCCCTGTATGTATTTGTACTCCTTTTAAACTTAAACTAGGCCTTCCTAGAAATAATCCTATCGTTCCCGCTGGCAAGGGTCCACAGACCCCTGTTGGGACCTTTTGCAGGGTTTCCCCAGGCAGAAGCCTCACAGCTTTTGTGCAACATAAATCTACTGTGGTGCTACTGGCTGTGGCGGGGGACAGATATTGTACAAGGATGAGGGAATGGCCTGAGCCAGAAATGCCCCGGTTTGGAATGGGGCCCCGGGATGGGCCCCTCATGGTGTTTCCTGAAATCAGGTTCCCATCTTTATCAAACTTAGAGTGACACTGATTAGCCCAATGTTTTCCTTTTTTGCATTTTGGACATATTTCAGGCTCAGTAGTTTTCTTTTTTTCCCCTATATGGTGGCCTGACTTGCTGATTTTTTCTACATTGTTTTTTAGTGTGATCATGCTTCAAACAGTTAAAACAAGCTCCAGGAAATGGAGTATTTCCTTTATCCACTCTCAGTCCTGCCATTGCCTGTGCCAACAAAGTAGCTTTATGCAGATTACCTCCGATACCGTCACAGGCCTTGATATAATCAACTAAATGTGCTTTCCCTCTAATAGGTCACAAAGCAGCCTGGCAATCGAGATTAACATTGCCAAAAGCTAATAACTGCAACACTATACTCTGAGCAGCTGAATCTGAAATCACCTTTTTAAGAGACTCCTGTCTTAAGAGATTCCAAGCTATAAAATCTGCATACAGTTCTTTTGGTCCCTGTTTTACAGCACTAAAGGAAGGGTATTGTTCTCCACCTGAAGTGATTTTTTCCCAAGCTCTAATGCACACTCCTCTAAGCTGCTCTACGGCATCATCCTGTATGACCACTTGTGCGTCTAAACCAGCCCAGCAGCCGACCCCCAAAAGTTGGTCCATGTTATATTAATTTGAGTTTCGGCCTGGGCATTGCAAGCAGCCTGAATGGAAGCTTCATCTGCCCACCAAGTTTTAAATTGTAAGAATTGAGCAGGACTTAGACAAGCTCGAATAAGAGTGTCCCCGTCAGCAGGAATCATCCGACTGGAAACAGCAACATTCTTTAACAGTCCCATTACAAAAGGAGAACCTGGTCCATACTGATTAATAGCTTGTTTAAATTATTTGAGTAATTTAAAAGGAAAAGGCTCAAATGTAGCTATAATATTTCCCTGTTGATCAGGTGGTGTATTCTAACAGGGAACTGCCAAGCCTCTATATCACCCTCTCGTCTAGCCTGCTGAACTCCTGCCTGAATAGAACTGACAGCAGTCGCTCGAGGTGCTGCTCAGTCACTGGGGCAACTACTTTTCGCCCAGTGTCCTCCAGAAAAGAAAGATCTGGAGGGTCTGGCCACTCTTTTTCTTCAAAATAATAATGAGGGGGTGCAGAAGGGTAGGGATGAACCTCTTCCTCCTTTGCCGCTTTAGCTTTAGCTTTAGCTGGCAAATAAACCTGCTCTGTAACCTCTTCTGTTACTTCGTCATACTCTCCTTCCTCCTCATCATCAGTGTGAAAAAGTTCCAAGGTGGAACGAACCAGAGCCCACACTTGTCCCATTGTTACCGGATGCTTCCAAGCTCCCCATCTTACTCACTACGAGGATTGCTTAAGAGTACTTGGGTGTCCTCCAGCTTAGTTCCCCATTCTCCAACTGTTGCTCTGGCGACCCTTCAACCTGGATTCGAGCCCCCACGTATGGGTGCTGCTTACTGAGACCAGCTTGGTGGGGGAGACCCTAACCCAGCAGAGCTAGAGGAATTAAAGATACACACACAGAAATATAGAGGTGTGGAGTGGGAAATCAGGGGTTTCACAGCCTTCAGAGCCAAGAGCCTTGAACAGAGATTTACCCATGTATTTATTGACAGCAAGCCAGTGATAAGCATTGTTTCTATAGATTATAGATTAACTAAAAGTATTCCTTACAGGAAACAAAGGGATGGGCTGAAATGAAGGGATGGGCTCTGGCTAGTTATCTGCAGCAGGAGCATGTCCTTAAGGCACAGATTGCTCACGCTACTGTTTGTGGTTTAAGAACACCTTTAAGTGGTTTTCCACTCTGGGTGGGCCAGGTGTTCCTTGCCCCCATTCTGGTAAACCCACAACATTCCAGCGTGGGCATCATGGCCATCACGAACATGTCACAGTGCTGCAGAGATTTTGTTTATGGCCAGTTTTGGGGCCAGTTTATGGCCATATTTTGGGGGGCCCGTTCCCAACATTACAGAAACAAAATGCAGCATCTACTATCACTATCTTTTTGTTCAGTCATCCATTATGTGAATGACAACTTCATTGTTACTAACTTTGGAAAGATCCCATTTCAAAGAAAAATGGGATTTCAGCTTCTTCAGTGGTAGATTTTCTTACACTCAGCAGCTAATAAAATATCTGAACCCCACAAAAAACCCCTGTTTATCTCTGTTATCTCTGGGTATAGAAAAATGCTGAATTCTTATTTGTATGTGAAATAAAGTGGTTTTTCAATAAGAAATTTTGCTATAAGGTAAGAATTTTATTCTAAATATAATTTCTTTCTTTCTTTCTTTCTTTCTTTCTTTCTTTCTTTCTTTCTTTCTTTCTTTCTTTCTTTCTTTCTTTCCTCCTTCCTTCCTTCCTTGTTTTTTGTTTTTGAGACAGGTTCTCACTCTGTTGCCGTGTCTGGAGTGCAGTGGTGCGATCTTGGCTCACTGCAACCTCTGCCTCCCAGGTTTAAGTGGTTCTCTTGCCTCAGCCTCCCGAGTAGCTGGGATTACAGGTGCCCACCACCATGCCCGGCTAATTTTTGAATTTTTAGTAGAGACGGGGTTTCACCATGTTGGCCAGGCTGGTCTTGAACTCTTGACCTCATTCCTAGAGCATTTTTTCCATTCATCTTTTATTAGTATTCAGATACACCTAGCAGCTGGTATGTTTTGTAGGATAGTTTTTGGTCATTCATTCTACCATGATTTAGCTTAGTATTAAAGGTTTATAGAATTTCCTTTTAGTTTGTAATTTAGAAACAAGATTGACATTTACTTCTTGTTCATATTCTCTAAGTTTTCACAACAGCTTCTCTCAGATAAGATCTCAAGGCCAGACATGGTGGCTCATGCTTGTAATCCCAGCACTTTGGGAGGCCCATATCACCTGGGGTCGGGAGTTCGAGACCAGCCTGGCCAGCATGGTGAAACCCCGTCTCTACTAAAAATACAAAAATTAGCCAGGCATGGTGACAGGTGCCTGTAGTCCCAGCTACTCAGGAGACTGAGGCAGGAGAATCGCTTGAACCCAGGAGGCGAGGTTGCAGTGAGCCGAGATCATGCCATTGCACTCCAGCCTGGCGGTAGAGTGAGACTTTGTCTCAAAAAAAAAAAAAAAAAAAAAAAAAAAACTCCAATAATCAGTTCAAGGTTGAACTGCTAACAATAAGATTTGAAGTTAACATTTAATTAATTTATTTATTTTTTAGACTCAGGGCCTCACTCTGTTGCCCAGGCTGGTATGCAGTGGCACCATCAGAGCTTCCTGCAGCCTTGAACTCCTGGGCTTAAGGGATCCTCCCACTCAGCCTCCTGAGTAGCTGGGACTGCAGGTGTGCACCACCATGTCCAGCTTAACATTTTATTTTATCTGATAGTAGAGTGAAGCACTTGCATTACAAAAATAAAATACATACAAATTACAACAACTTTGCCAATCTAACATATGACCTCGAATGATAGTTAAATTAGGAGCCAGTCAGCCACTTTCAAACATGTTTTTCAAAGTGAAATTTTAAAGGCAGTGTCATTGTTTACTTCTACTAATGCTCATAGGTTTAGCTGTGGTCCTGCTATAGAGTTTGTTAAGAAAACTTCCCTGAGTTGTTTTAAATGGTCTTATCAAAGCCAAACACTGAAATCCTATAATCATTGGAATTGGGAACAAAAGATACATTTCTAGGCTTTATTTTATTATAAATTAAAATCTTAGTGATGGTAGGATCATTTTTCCTTATGGATTTTTTCTAATATATTTAAAGCATAGATAATTGTGTTCAATCAGTTGTATTTTATGCTGAATCATTTGACCATGTGAGGAAAGCATATTTTTGGACTCTTATCCCATCTTGACTAGAGGGATCAGTAAAAACCTGGAATGAAGAAGTTCTTCATGTGCACATCTTTTTTTCCTGTGTGCACTGCCCTTCATTCACACTTCTGTGCATTCACACATTTGTGATTGCACGTTTTGGTATTGATTTAGAATCATTTATTAATTCCACAGTCAAGTTAATAAAATGCCATTGGGAATTAAAGATAAATTTTACATGCATTTTCTCAAAATTCATTACTTGATCCATTTATTCATTCTAAACCCATGTCAAATGCCATTCTTTAAACCTCATGTTTTATTAAAGTTGATTTCACTTATTAATTCAATCAAAAGCCATTGAAGTTTATAGCAAGAGGCATCAAAGAAGGCAGAATGTTTCTATCTGTTCTGGGATTAACGGGGGTAGAAAGATGGGAAGGGCAGAGGGACAAGAGGCCTCACAGAGACAGACAAGATATAAAGACACCTGCCTCCCTGGCCAGAAACCAACTTCCAGGATTCAGGATTCAGGAGTAAAGTGTCCCAATAATTAGAAGGTTTCCTGGTCTCTCTCAAATTCAGTGCTCATTTGGCCAGGGATAAGGCCCTCACACCCTTTGCTTTGAGGATCCAAGCTTAGAATGTGGCTGTCTCTGGGACATTTCATGCTAAAGAAAGCCCAGCAAGTGTAGACAAAGAGTCTAGAGGGCACCAGCCACCCTTCCATGGAACTCTGTTCAAGGCAACTCTCTGTGTTCTGTTACTTATATTGGCCGCGTCTTCAGGAATTTAGCGAAATGGCCATGTTGTCTCTGAGTGGAAGTGAGGGGAGGCCACTGGGCAGTCAGAGATTTTGAATCCCTGTTTCCTTTCCCCCCATCTCAACCAGAGGCCACTTGTGAAAGCCCAAGAAAAAAAGACACGAATGTCAGAGGTGAATCCAGGCTCATGAACCCATTGTGGTCACGGGACTGAAGCCACGTGGCCCAACAGTAATGAAGTCTGTGAGGCCTTGGTAACCCCAAAGCTCTCCCCCAATTAGGAGCTGCCTCTCACTGCCATCAGGCACCCCAGGAGCTGGACATGTGGCATTCTTTGTCATGTCTGATGAGGAACTGGAGAGGTCCCAGAGCATATAGACCTTGATCGAATTGGAGCTAGAGTGGAGTCAGGCAAAACTCTGCATTGACTCAGAGGCACCTACATGTGAAATAAAGTCTCCACTCAGAGCTTCCATCAGAGCATCAGGCTCAGTAGCAATTCCTTTCTGCTGTTGCTGTATTTGCCCTGTGACAACTGGTGCTTGAAGGAAGGAGAAATCATTATGTGTGCAGGAAAGCACATGCAATTAGAAAACTGGGACATGATTCATAAGGCAGGAGGGACCCTTTTCTCTTTCGTGGTAGATGTGGGACTCCCTGTCATCTTTGTCCTGATGCCCCAAGTGCACAAGGTGAATTTTCCTGCTCTCAGTTGAGTGACCAACACTGGGAGCTGGAATTCAGAGAAACAGTGGCAGCCTCTCTCTCTCCATCCCCCATCCCAGTAAATCTAAGGCAAGGGCCTAGGGCTCTTGCACTTTATTTTCACCATGCATTTTCCTTCTCTGGTTAAGAAAATAACCAAATGGCCAGGCGTGGTGGCTCACACCTGTAATCCCAGCACTTCGGGAGGCTGAGGTGGGAGGAGCACCTGAGGTCAGGAGTTCGAGACCAGCCTGGCAAACATGATGAAACTCCATCTCTACCAAAAATGCAAAAATTAGCCAGATGTGGTGGCATGCACCTGTAATCCCAGCTACTCAGGAGGCTGAGGCATGAGGATCACTTGAACTCGGAAGGTGGAGGTTGCAGCCAGCTGAGATTGTGCCACTGCACTCCAGCCTGTGATAGAGTGAGACCCTGTCTCGACAACAACAACAACAACAACAACGACAAAGGAAATAAAAAAAGAGAAAATAACCAAATGTGTAAAAATCAAGGTTGCAATTCTGCAATTCTTGTGGCACCCAGAATACTGGACTAGACCAAGGGTGCCAGGTGCTTGTCACTGCTCCACCACTCAACGGCTGTGACCTCAGGAGAATCTCTCCAAGTCCTGGTGCTTGTTAATTCATCTGTGAGTCATGGATAAACACATCCATTCTAGTGAGAATAAATGAAAACACATTTCATCCTTACTGAGATGCAGTGAGTGTTGCCCCAGTACTAAGGGGTAAATGCAGAGAGAAACATTAGTTTAGGATTTTTTTTTTTTTTTGAGATGGAGTTTCACTCTTGTTGCCCAGGCTGGAATGCAATTGCACGATCTCTGCTTACTGCAACCTCTCCCCACTGTGTTCAAGCAATTCACCTACCTCAGCCTCCCAAGTAGCTGGAACTATAGGCTTGTGCCACTATGCCCGGCTAATTTTTTTGTATTTTTAGTAGAGTTAGGGTTTCACCATTTTGGCCAGACTGGTCTTCAACTCCTGATCTCAGGTGATCCACCCGCCTCAGCCTCCCAAAGTGCTAGGATTACAGGTGTGAGCCACCGTGCCTGACCATCAGCTCGGGATTTTAAGAAACATCCTTAAAAGTAGGAAGAAAGCACATAATACCTGCAAAGCCCTGGGTAAAAATCCTCTTTTACTTCCGTAATGATTACAAAATAATTATTTCTCATAACTTCTAGAAAATTAGAGGAAAACTCATTCCTTCAACATCTCAAGAAACTTAAATACAGATGGTGATTATATATCAGATTGGAACCACAAGCTTTGTTCTGAGTAAAACTGAAAAGAAATGGGGATATCTCCATTTTTGAGTGGTGACCATGGGACCCAAAGTGGTTTGTAAATGACCCTTTATCATCTACACTTGTCAATTTTCAATTGATTCACTCATTTCTTAGAAATCCCTGATAATTCATAATCTTGAAAAAATTTCATGTCCAGATACTAGGCAGGGTAATATGTTTGTTTTAATTTGCTAGGGCTGCCATAACAAAGTACCACACACTGGGTGACATAAAGAACAGAAAAATTATTGTGCCACAGTTCCAGAGGCTGGAAGTCCAAGATCATGGTGTTGGCAGTGCACATTTCTTCTGAGGCTTCTTTCCTTGGCTTGTAGATGTGTTTTCCCTGTGTCTTTACATGGTCATTCCTCTGCATCTGTCTATGTCTAATCTTCTCTTTTTATAAGGACACTAGTCACATTGAATTAAGACCCACTCATATGACCTCATTTTACCTTAATGACCTCCTTAAAGACCTCTCCAAATGCAGTCACTTTCTCAGGTACTGGGGGTTAGGACACCAACATGCCAATTTTTGGAGAGATGCAATTTAGCCCATAACAGTCTGGATTAACCTGGAGACTCCTTTTCCTTCCTTCCTTCCTTCCTTCCTTCCTTCCTTCCTTCCTTCCTTCCTTCCTTCCTTCCTTTTTCTTTCTTTCTTTCTTTTTCTTTCTTCTCTTTCTTTTGTTTTCTTTTCTTTTATTGAGATGGAGCCTTGTTCTGTCACCCAGGCTGGAGTGCAGTGGCACGATCTCGGCTCACTGCAACCTCCGCTTCCCAGGTTCAAGCATTTCTCCTGTCTCAGCTTCCCGAGTAGCTGGGATTACAGATGCCTGCCACCACGCCCAGCTAATTTTTGTATTTTTAGTAGAGATGGGGTTTCACCATGTTGGCCAGGCTGGTCTCGTACTCCTGACCTTAGGTGATCTATTCACCTCGGCCTCCCAAAATGCTGGGATTACAGGCGCCAGCTACCGCTCCTGGCCGAGACTGCGTTTTTAAAGAGTAAAACAGAGTAAATCTCTTTGGCTTAACTCTGTCTCTTAATACTCTGAAATTTTGTTCTTGCAGTGAGAACAAAAAAAAAAGACAGCCAAAGGTTGGTGTCACGCAGAAGGTGAGCCCTCCCTAACTCTGGCTGCCCCAAGACGCAGTGCTGTGTCATTCCTGAAAGTTTGCTCCATTCTAGTGATTCTGGCTCCAGCTTTTTCATTGGGAAGAGGATTCTCTCCCAGAGGAAAAACTTCTCCTGCTATGCAGGCTTATTTTCTTTATATTTGTAGGACAAAAAAGTTGATGTAATAAAAAGAATATATTTGTGAAATTTTTGTGGTAATCATTTTGATAACCTTATCAATACCCCATATTGTGATGAATATGTTGGCTTCATTTTGGCAGAAGGGACATGACACTGGACATTTTGAGCCACAATTTCTCTGGGCCTTTCCATGGGATTCAGTTTCTGCCCTGGTAGGTGAAGGGAGAGCTCTTGGTGTAGGGTTTGGTCTTTATAATAAACTATGCTTTTGGGGTAGCAGGTTTATCTCTGGAAGCATGAAGCTTAGTCAGGAGTGCGACCCTCCTCCCCATTCAAAAGGTCAAGGTAGAGCAGGTTCTTGTTCAGGGCGCAGTGAGCGAGAGAAGGGAAAGTGACAGAGCATTCTTTCACCTTTTTGTGACATGCATGCATCCAAGTCTCTGGTGTTTTAAATAACTGAAACTGAGACCTAGATCCACTTATCTGTAAAGTAGAACTGTGGAGAAGGAAGCATATCATCCCCACCACTGGAGAGATCCCTGAAGAGAGATTTGTGAGCCCCCATTTTATCGAAAATGACACAAAATTTCATCAAAATAAAGTGAAATTGTGGCTGTAGATGGGGTTTTATTTAGAGCTTTGACTCCGCATCTGCTTCCTAAGACATGGTCCTTCCCCAGGATACTACAGAATCACAGGGCTTAGACTGGAGGGGTAAGGCGTGATGGTGTTCTTCCTTTCTGGCCGATAGGATGTTTTGGATTGTATGTATTTTCCAAAGACGGCTGCAGAAGTATCTTCCATCACACTTTGTTTTCTTTAGTTTGATCCACCACTCCCTCATCAAGAGGTAAGTTCTCTCCATCCCCTTAAACATGAGCAGATCTGATATCTGCGTTAGCCAATAAAATAGGGCAGAAACGTGGTTGTGTCAGTTCTGGGCACTGCTGTTAACCATCCTGCCTGCATCTGGTTCCTTCCACTTCAATCCCTGAACCATGTTAAACTCCAAGGCCATCATCTGAGCCCAGCCAACACATAGAACCCTATGAGAGATCATTAAAAATTCTTAGTTACTATTTTCAGGAATATCCTTTTCCATCCTTTCATTTTCAACTTGTATGTGTCCTTAGATCCAAAGTGAGTATCTTGTAGCCAGCATATGGTTAGAATCTTTTTATTATATCCATTGTGATAATCTCAATTCTGATTGGGGAGTTTAATCAATTTACATTTAAAGTAATTACTGATGAAGAAGGACTTACCTCTGTAATTGTGATGGTTTTATGCATGTCTTATAGCTGTTTCGTCCCTTATCTTCCTCATTCCAACCTTCCTTTGTGTTTAGTCGATTTTTTTCTAGTGATATGTTTTAATTGCCTTCTCACTTTCTTTTGTGTATATTTTATGTATATTTTCTTTGTGATTACTATGGTATTGCACATAACAATACAACTATAACAATTTTGAATTGAAACCAGTATGAAACTCTGCTTCTTTACATCTTTTTCCACCCCTCATTTTACATTATTGATGTCACAAATTACTCCTCTGCAGGCTAGCAGGCTGGAAAGTCACAATGTTGCAGTCTTCAGTCTAAAATTTGTAAACCAGGCTGGCAGATTGGAAATCTAAACTGTAGTTGCTACTGTCATCTTGAGGCAGAATTTTTTCTTCTTTGAGAAGCCTCACACTTTGCCCAAAGGCCTTCAACTGATTCAAAAAGTCCCGCCCACATTTTTGAGGGTAATTTCCTTTTCATAAAATCAACTGACATAAGATTTTAACCACAAGTGCAAAACACCATCATAGCAACATATAAATTAGTGTTTGATTAAATAACTAGACACTATGGTTTAGTAAAATTGACACATAATACCCACCACCCTAGTCCATGCTTGTGAACTTGGCACCCATTAACGTTTTCTTAAACCATACTTAGTCTCCAAATAAAAACAATTATAAAGTCATACTTTTGCTAAAGATGATACAGCTATCTTGCATCCATCTAAAAACACTAACCATTTCCTCAGAAAAAAATTCAAACTCAATGCATGATAAGCATTTTTCTCTTCGATATACTGTAACCTAAACACCATGTTTAAAAAAAGTTGAACCATCATTAATAAAAGGGAACTATTATTAGCACATTTTATGTTTTATTACAAGATGATAAGGAAAAGATGAAAACAAAGGTATTTGCTTAGTACATGTATGGGTACATACACACAGACATAAATATCATTGTAAAAACATAAGGAAGAAATGCTTATAACATTTACTGTCTTTATTTCTGCAACTGATCACATGGTTACAGCTGGTTATTTATTTATTTATTTATTTACTTATTTATTTATTTGATACAGGGTCTTGTTCTGTTGCCCAGGCTGGAGTGCAGTGGCATTACCTTGGCTCACTGCAAACTCCACCTCCTGGGCACAAGTGATCCTTCTACCTCAACCTCCTAAGTAGCTGGGACTGCAAGCACACCACCAAGTCTGACTAAATTTTTGTATGTATTTTCAGTAGAGATGGAATTTCAGCATGTTGCCCAGGTTGGTCTCACATTCCTCGACTTAAGGAATCCACCTGCCTCAGCCTCCCAAAGTGCTGGGGTTATAGGCATGAGCCACTGTGCTGGCCACAACTAGTGTAAATAGCTTTTTTTCACTAACCATCCCATAGTCCCACTGCCTTCAGCAAGTCCGTCAGCTGATCAGGTTTCTTTTCCTGCTTGGGTGACTCATACCTTCATTCCTGAAGGGCATGGGTCATTAGTAGTCCTGCCTGACTTGGGTTGTTGTAGTTTTTATTGACTTTAATTATAGAGCAGAGTATTACTAAGAGATGCTCTAAAAGATCTCCTGTATTTCAAACATAGTCTTATTTACTGCCATTGTGTAGTAGCAGACCAATTTCCCCCTGATGACCAGGACCAATCACCCCAGAAAGTGCAGTAACTCCTTCCTTTGTCTGTTGATTCAGTAACATGAGGAGCTGAAGGGCCCGGGTGGGTGTCTTAGCTTCCAGCTCAATGGAATAATTTCTGTGTCTCCTGAGGGAGTATTCCTCCCTTTGGTAAACCTCTAGATCCTGATCCTATTCCTCGTGACTGGGCAAGACCTCCCAACCAGGGTCTCCAGTACCTCCTACAGGTGTGTTTGGGCTGGCAACAGGTCTGTACTTTCCTGAGACAGAGCTCCCAAAGGAAAAGGCAGACTACCATCTTTGCTGTTATGTAGCTTTCACTGGTGATATCTCCAGTTACTGGAAAATCTGAGGCAACTGGGGACTGGAGCAGGCCCTCAGCAAACTGCAGCAGCCCTACAGAAAAGTGGCCAGACTGTTGAAAGAGAAAACAAAAGAAGAGAAAAACAAAACCCATTCATAGATCAGCAACCTCAAAGAATGAAGGTAGATAAGCCCACTAAGATGAGAAAGAATCAGCACAACAATGCTGAAAACTCAAAAAGCCAGCAAGGGTTTGGAACCAGGCTAAAGCTGAGATGACTGAAAGAGCAGAAGTAGAATTCAGAATATGGAGAGGGAAGAAGTTCACTGTGCTAAAGGGGTACAGTGTGACCCAATCCAAGGAAGCTAAAAATAATGATAAAACATTGCAGGAGCTGACAGCCAAAATAGCCAGTATTATAGAAGAATGAAACCAACCTGATAAAGCTGAAAAACACACTAAAAGAATTTCATAGTGCACTCACAAGTATTAACAGCAGAATAGAACAAGTGGAGGAAAGACTCTCAGTGCTTGAAGACCAGCTTTCTAAAATAAGACAGGAAGACAAGAATAGAGAAAACAGAATGAAAAGGAACAAACAAAACCTCTGAGAAACATCAGATTATGTAAAGAAACTGAATCCATGAATTATTGGTATACCTGAAAGAGATGGGAATAATGGAATCAATTTGGAACACACTTCAAGATATCATCCATGAGAACTTTCCCAACCTAGCTAGACAGACCAACATTCAAATTCAGAAATGCAGAGGACACTAGTAAGTTACTCCATGAGAAGATCATCCCCAAGATACAATCATCAGATTCTCCATGGTTGAAATGAAAGAAAGAACGTTAAGGGCAGCCAGAGAGAAAGGCCAGGTCACCTGCAAAGGGAAGCCCATTAGACTAACAGTGGACCTCCAAGTGGAAACCCTACACACCAGAAGAGATTGAGGGCCAGTATTGAACATTGTTAAAGAAAAGAATTTCCAACCCACAATTTCATATCCAGCCAAACTAAGCTTCATAAGCAAAAAAGAAATAAAATTCTTTTCAGACAAACAAATGCCAAGGGAATTCATTACCACCAGACCTGCATTACAAGAACTCCTAAAAGAAGCACTAAATATGGAAAGGAAAGACAGTTACCAGCCACTACAAAAACACGCTGAAGTACATAGACCAGTGACGCAATAAAGCAACCACATAAGCAAGTCTGCAAAGTAACCAGCTAACACCATGATGACAGGATCAAATCCATACATATCAATACTAACCTTAAATGTAAATGGGCTAAATGCCACATTTAAAAGACACAGAAGGGCAAGCTGGATAAAGAACCAAGACCTATCAGTATGCTGCCTACAATACACTCATCTTACATTCAATGACACACATAGGCACAAAATAAAGAGATGGAGGAAAATTTTCCAAGCAAATGGAAAGCGGAAGAAAGCCAGGGTTGCAATCCTAGTTTCTGACAACACAGACTTTAAACCAAGAAAGATAAAAAAAGATAAAGGTGGGCATTACATAATGGTAAAGGGTTCAATTCAATGAAGAGATCTAACTATCCTAAATATATATGCATCCAATAGAGGAACACCCAGATTTATAAGGCAGGTTCTTAGAGACCGTCAAAGAGATTTAGAACCTCACACAGTAGAAGTGGTGGACTTTAATACCCCACTGACAATATTAAACAGATCATCAAGACAGAAAATTAACAAAGATATTCAGGACCTGAATTCAGCCCTGGAGCAAATGGACCTGATAGATATTTACAGAACTCCAGACCCCAGAACAACAGAATATACATTTTTCTCATTGCCACATGGCACTTACTCTAAAATCAATCACACAATCAGAAGTGAAACACTCCTCAGCAAATGCAAAAGAACTGAAATCATAACAAATAGTCTCTCAGACTACAGTGCAATCAAATTCAAAATCAAGAATAAGAAATTCACTAAAACCATATAATTACTTAGAAATTAAATAACCTGTTCTTGAATGACTTTTAGTAAATAATGAAATTCAGGTAGAAATCAAGAAGTTCTTTGAAACTAATGAGAAAAAAGATACAATGTACCAGAACCTCTGGGAAACAGCTAAGGCAGTGTTAAGAGGGAAATTTATAGCAGTAAATGCCCACATCAAAAAGTTAGAAAGATCTCAAGTCAACAACCTAAAATCAAACCTAAAAGAACTTAAGAATGAAGAGCAAACATATCCCGAAGCTAGCAGAAGACAAGAAACAACAAAAAAAATTAACAAAAGTATTGTCTCCTGAAGGAGACAGAGACACAAAAAACCATTTGAAGGATCAATAAATTCAGGAGGTTTTTAAAAAGAAATTAATAAAATAGACCACTAGCTAAGCTAATAAAGAAGAAAAGAGAGAAAATTCCAATAAACACAATCAGAAACAATAAGAGGAACATTACCACTGACCCCACAGAAATACAAGCAACCACCAGAAAATATTATGAACACTTCTATGCGCATAAACTAGAAAATCTAGAAGAAATGGATAAATTCCTGGACACATACACCGCCCCCAAGACTGAACCAGGAAGAAATGCAATCTCTGAAAAAATAATGAGCTCTGAACTTGAGGCAGTAATGAAGAGCCTACCAAAAAAAAAAAAAAAAAAGTGCAGGACCAGATGATTGACAGGTGAATTCTACTGGATGTACAAAGAAGAGATGGTACCATTCCTATTGAAACTATTCCCAAAAAATGAGGAGGAGAGACTCCTCCCTAACTCATTCTATTAGGCCAGCATCATCCTGATACCAAAATGTGGCAGAGATACAACAACAACAAACAAGAGAAAACATCAGGCCAGTATTCTTGATGAACATTAATGCAAAAATCTCCAACAAAATGCTGGCAAACCGAATCCTGCAGCACATCAAAAACCTTATCCACCACAATCAAGTAGGCTTCATCGCCAGGATGCAAGGTTAGTTCAACATATGCAAATCAATAAATGTGATTCATCACGTAAACAGAACTAAAGACAAAAACTACATGATTGTCTCAGTTGATGAAGAAAAGGCTTTTGATAAAATTCAAACTCTATTCATGTTTTTAAAAAAACTCTCAATAAACTAGGTGTTCAAGGAATATACCTCAAAACAATAAAAACCATCTATGACAAACCCACAGCCAACTTCATACTGAATGGGCAAAACTAGAAGCATTCTCCTTGAAATCAGCACAAGACAAGGATGCCTTCTCTCACTGCTCCTGTTCAACACAGTATCGGAAATTCTGACCAGGGCAATCAGGCAAGTGAAATTAAAAAAAAAAAAAAAAAAAAAAAAGAAGGATGTTCAAATAGGACGAGAGGAATTCAAATGATTCCTGTTTGCAGATGACATGATTCTATAACTAGAAAAACCCATAGCCTCAGTCCAAAAGCTTCTTAAGCTGATAAACAACTTCAGCAAATTCTCAAGATACAAAATCAATGTGCAAAAATTACTAGCATTTCTACACACTGACAACAGGCAAGCCAAGAGCCAAAGCAGGAATGAACTCCCACTCACAATTGCCACAAAAAGAACACAATACCTAGGAATAATGCTAATTTGGGAGGTAAAAGATGTCTGCAAGGAGAACTACTGGTCCCAAAAAGTGTGCATTAATGTTAGCAGTAGCTATGATAGGCTGGGTGGAATGCCCATAGGTGGTGTTTGCAGGTAGGTGACAGCTAAGGTGATAGCACCCAACCTCGGTTACCCAGGAGGAGTTCTCAGGTGTCCACAGTGGTGGATTGGGTTGAGCAATTCCCAGGACCCTGGGCTGTGTTCTCTGTCTCAGTGGAAAAAGGAAATGAAGCTGTCTTTTCATCACTAAATGCTGTGCCAACTAGTCCCTTAATTTTCTTTTTGCCTGAAGGACTGAAACATTTATTATAGTTTAGATCTGCTAGTTATAACTTTTTTCACTCCCTATATAACTAAAATCTATTTTTCGATAGCTATATTCATGGTATGTTAATTGGTTAATTAGTTTGATTTAATCATTACACATGGTATACATATATCAGTACATCACACAACATCTCATGAATGTATTATGATTTGTCAATTTAAATTATACATATATATGTTTTAGAAAGGTATTATTTTCTGGGAATAGAATCTAGTTTCACAGTATTTTCCTTTTAGGACTTTAAAGATGTTGCTCATCTGTCTTCTCATTTGCATTGTTTCCAGTGAAATAACGGCTGTCATCTTTATTATTATTCTCATGTCTTTTTTTTTACTTTCTGCTTATTCATTTTTCTCTCCTTCTGTTTTCAACAAATACATGTTTTTTTCACCCACAGTTATAGAATGAACTTGAGCAACAATCTATAGGAATGGCTTTTTGACTGTTGGTTGAAAATTTTTAGAAACAGTTGTTTGTTCCTTGTTTTATTAGGACAAAGGCTAATTTCCTCAGAATATTCTTAAATTGAAGAATGTCATAATTAATTTTATTTGTCATCTTGGCTGAACCACAGTGCCCAGATAGGTGATCAAGCATTATTCTGGATGATTTGTGAGAATGTTTCTTGGATAACATTAATGCAAAATAACTAGACTTTGAGTAAAGTAGATTGATCTCTATAATGTGGGTGGGCTTCATTCAATTCATTGAAGGTGTAAATTAAACAAAACATTGACCTTCTCTGAGCAAGATGGAACTCTGCAGCAGACAGCGCTGGGATTTGAACTGCAATATCCGTCAACTGATCTCAAACAGCTGGTTGGTTTGTGTACAGCATTTGGAAGATGAATGGACAACATCCTGTTTGGAAGTCCACCGCTTTGATCGAAGAAGATAAAAACAGAACAACTCTTGTGGGCTGAATTGCAGGGTGTTTCTCAGCAGTGGTGGAAGAATTGAACAATAATAAAGCTCCTATGTTTTAGTTTTTATTGACTTACAGGCAGTGACTAATGGCCTGGCCATATAATTAATCAGGAAAGCAAAGGAAAACTTGCCGATGAAAAGAGTGCCCAAATGAGACACAGTCCTATGGAAATCACGATGGTAATTTGAGAGGTTCATTAATGTAAGACACGTTGATGCCTGATATAGAGTGGATGTTGTTCTTGCCCGAATCTCATGTTGGATGGAATCCCCAGCATTAGAGGTGGGACCTGCAGGGAGGTGATTGGATCACGGGGGCAGTTTCTCATGAATGGTTTAGCACCGTCCCCTCAGTGCCCATCAATGCCCATCAGAATAACTCCCTTCCAGGTTTGGAAGGTGATTGAAATAAACAAGCATTTATCTCCAAGTGTTTGCCAGGTGCACCTGTAATTCCAGCTATGACAACAGCTGAGGCAGAAGGATATCTTGAGTCCAG
The DNA here is from genome assembly GCF_000001405.40 of Homo sapiens. Taxonomy (NCBI): domain Eukaryota; kingdom Metazoa; phylum Chordata; class Mammalia; order Primates; family Hominidae; genus Homo; species Homo sapiens. Next base: position 2,554,022 of record NT_167249.2, read on the forward strand.
GAGTTAGAGTTTGGCCTGAGCAGCACTTGAGTCCAGCCAGAGAAAGATATCAAGACCACATCTAAAAAAAATCCACGTTTGCTTGCGGTGATCACCTAGGTCCATGAAGTAAGTAGACACTGGGGCTGTAGCAATGCAGAGAGAGGTGGAATCAAGGCATATTCCTCTTGCATTCCCCACATCACAGGCACAAAATACATATAAGTGTTTTCTTTAACAAAAAAAAGAGAGAGAGACAGAGATAGCATATGGCTATGTGGCAGATTCTTTTATGGGAAGATCTTGAAAATACAGAGCTGGCAAGTTACACTGATACCAGTAGCCCCAGGAAGCAGCAAATGGGTCTTGGCAGCAATAGATACACACCCTGGAGCTGGGCATTGCTCAGCTGCTGGTAGATGTGTTACCAAACAGAACTGGAGTCCACTCACCTAGGGCAGTAAAAACAAACATCCATACTGAGATTTTGTAGTGAGATAAAGGAGGGCATTTATTTGTAGGGTGCCAAGCAAGGAGAATCAGCCAGCTCACAGTTAAGACCCAACCTCCTCAATGGCTCACAAGCAAGGTTTCTTAAAGATAGGGGTAAATTTCAGGAAAGCAGAGTTACAGGCAACATCATAAATCAATGCATAGAAGTTACACACTGGTTTGGCCTTAAAAGGAGGAATATCCTGATGAGGGAGCTTACAAGTCGTAGATAGAGATAAAGATTCTCTGATTTGTGATTCATAAGGAAGCAAAGCTTCCTTACACAGTTGGGGGCAGTAGAGAGGAATGTTCAGGCCTGGCCTGTGGGCTTTACTCTCTCCAGGCCCCTCAGGAAGAAATTTAGAACAAAGAACAGTGGTCAGAGTTCAGTCCTCAGTTTCCCCTTATCTGAGGTCTTCCTGTCAGTGGATCTATTAGGTGGGAATCTGAGTTTCTGAAAAACAACTCAGGGACATATATTAAGATGTTCTCTTTAGTTTCCATAGAGAATCCAACATCTTGTGACTCTAACTTCCTTGGCTATCGTTTTAAGCTATCATTACCTTCTTGTTTATAAGGTCACTCACTTACTTTTTAGGGCTGGCTAGGTGCCTGGAATTTCTTTTGAAGGAACTGAAGGTTTTTCTTTATTTCCATGTTGGGAGGCCCTGGCAGGCTTCTAAGAGAGGTCCCTGCTTTATCTCAGATGCAAATGCTCAGAGTGCTACTAAGAGCTTGAATGGGAGGTACTGCAACCATGTGGACCACTGAGTCACATTTCTTTACACCAGAAAATGCGCTTGCTCAAAATTCCAGAAAGACATCCTTCTCAGAGGAAGAGTTCCATAAAGAATTAAAATATTCCATTGAAACATTGGTTGTATAAAGCAAGAGTGGGGAAACAAGCATGAAGGGTGGGCTTACACACCTTCATGAGTGTGCTTACACTTGATATGAAAGTATCCTCTCTTTTCCTTGTGGATCAGGGGAAGGTGCTGGTGTGATCTATATACAATCCTTCCCAAGGTGGGAGGACACTGGAATGACGACTGTACTTTACCTCAACTTGCTTTTCTCATACCTGATGCAGTGGTCTCAGGACTAGGGATGCAAATAAAAGTCCAGAAACAGGAATTATTCCTAAGCAAGAAACTGTAAATATATTTTGTGTCCATTATGTAATGATTCCTAAGGGTCTAGAGAAGTAGGTTGTGCCTTCAGTGCATCTGGCAAAGTTGGGGTTAACACTGAATGCAGCTGTATTGCCTGGGGTCAGCTAGCCAACCAGTTCTCTACTGCATAACCCTACCCTCTATGAACTGGAATGGATGATGCAAGACAATTGCTAGAACAGTATTGGTCCGTGCAGTCTAGGTCAGCACAGCAGCAGAACCTCATGTCCCTTCCATAACTAGAAATGTTTGGTATAAATGAAGAGAAGGAGAAATAGTAGCTGAGGGTAAATGAATGAATAAATGGGTTATGCAATGAGGAAAATCCAATGTTACATGAACTACTCAAAAGAGATATAAGCAAGAGATGATATTGTCTCTTAACTCAATTTTACCAAATGCCTGAACGGGTGCAGCCTTATGTTGCTGAGACTACTTCTGTTTTTGGGCTGCACCGGGATAATTTTTTTTTATTATACTTTAAGTTCTAGGGTACATGTGCACAACATGCAGGTTTGTTACCTATGTGTACATGTGCCATGTTGGTGTGCTGCACCCATTAACTCGTCATTTGCATTAGGTATTTCTCCTAATGCTATCCCTCCCCCCTGTCCCCACCCCATGACAGGCCCTGGTGTGTAATATTCCCCACCCTGAGTTCAAGTGTTCTGATTGTTCAATTCCCACCTATGGGTGAGAACATGCGGTGTTTGGTTTTCTGTCCTTGTGATAGTTTGCTCAGAATGATGGTTTCCAGCTTCATCCACATCCCTGCAAAGGACATGAACTCGTCCTTTTTTATGGCTGCATAGTATTCCATGGTGTATTTGTGACACATTTTCTTTTTTTCTTTTTTCTTTTTGAGATGGAGTCTCGCTCTGTCGCCCAGGCTGGAGTGCAGTGGTGCGATCTCGCTCACTGCAAGCTCTGCCTCCTGGGTTCATGCCATTCTCCTGCCTCAGCCTCCCAAGTAGCTGGGACTATAGGCACCCGCCACCATGACCAGCTAATTTTTTTGTATTTTTAGTACAGATGGGTTTTCACTGTATTAGGCAGGATGGTCTTGATCTCCTGACCTCGTGATCCACCCACCTCAGCCTCCCAAAGTGCTGGGATTACAGGTATGAGCCACTGCACCCGGCTTATGTGCCACATTTTCTTAATCCAGTCTATCACTGATGGACATTTGGGTTGGTTCCAAGTATTTTCTATTGTGAATAGTGCAATAAACATACATGTGCATTTATAGTAGCATGATTTATAATCCTTTGGGTATATACCCAGTAATGGGATGGCTGGGTCAAATGGTATTTCTAGTTCTAGATCCTTGAGGAATTGCCACACTGTCTTCCACAATGGTTGAACTAGCTTACACTCCCACCAACAGTGTAAAAGTGTTCCTATTTCTCCACATGCTCTCCAGCACCTGTGGTTTCCTGACTTTTTAATGATTGCCATTCTAACTGGTGTGAGATAGTATCTCCTTTTGGTTTTGATTTGCATTTCTTTGATGACCAGTGATGATGAGCATTTTTTCATGTGTCTGTTGGCTGCATAGATGTCTTCTTTTGAGAAGTGTCTGTTCATATCCTTTGCCCACTTTTTGATGGGGTTGTTTGATTTTTTCTTGTAAATTTGTTTAAGTTCTTTGTAGATTCTGGATATTAGTCCTTTGTCAGATGGGTAGATTACAAAAATTTTCTCCCATTCTGTAGGTTGCCTGTTCACTCTGATGGTAGTTTCTTTTGCTGTGCAGAAGCTCTTTAGTTTAATTAAATCCCATTTGTCAATTTTGGCTTTTGTTGCTATTGCTTTTGGTGTTTCAGTCATGAAGTCCTTGCCCATGTCTATGTCCTGAATGGTATTGCCTAGGTTTTCTTCTAGGGTTTTTATGATTTTAGGTCGAACATTTAAGTCTTTAATCCATCTTGAATTAATTTTTGTATAAGGTCTAAGGAAGGGATCCAGTTTCAGCTTTCTACTATGGCTAGCCAGTTTTCCCAGCACCATTTATTAAATAGGGAATCCTTTCCCCATTTCTTGTTTTTGTCAGGTTTGTCAAAGATCAGATAGTTGTAGATGTGTGATATTATTTCTGAGGGCTCTGTTCTGTTCCATTGGTCTATATCTCTGTTTTGGTTCCAGTACCATGCTGTTTTTGTTACTGTAGCCTTGTAATATAGTTTGAAGTCAGGTAGCGTGATGCCTCCAGCTTTGTTCTTTTGGCTTAGGATTGTCTTGGCAATGCAGGCTCTTTTTTGGTTCCATATGAACTTTAAAGTAGTTTTTTCCAATTCTGTGAAGAAAGTCATTGGTAGCTTGATGGGGATGGCATTAAATCTATAAATTACCTTGGGCAGTATGGCCATTTTCACGACATTGATTCTTCCTATTCATGAGCATGGAATGTTCTTCCATTTGTTTATGTCCTCTTTTATTTCGTTGAGTAGTGGTTTGTAGTTCTCCTTGAAGAGGTCCTTCACATCCCTTGTAAGTTGGATTCCTAGGTATTTTATTCTCTTTGAAGCAATTGTGAATGGGAGTTCACTCATGATTTGGCTCTCTGTTTGTCTGTTATTGGTGTATAGGAATACTTGTGATTTTTGCACATGGATTTTGTATCCTGAGACTTTGCTGAAGTTGCTTATCAGCTTAAGGAGATTTTGGGCTGAGATGATGGGGTTTTCTAAACATCCAATCATGTCATCTGCAAACAGGGACAATTTGACTTCCTCTTTTCCTAATTGAATACCCTTTATTTCTTTCTCTTGTCTGATTGCCCTGGCCAGAATTTCCAACACTATGTTGAGTAGGAGTGGTGAGAGAGGGCATCCCTGTCTTGTGCCAGTTTTCAAAGGGAATGCTTCCAGTTTTTGCCCATTCAGTATGATATTGGCTGTGGGTTTGTCATAAATAGCTCTTATTATTTTGAGATACGTCCCATCAATACCTAGTTTATTGAGAGTTTTTGGCATGAAGGGCTGTGGAATTTTGTTGAAGGTCTTTTTGGCATCTATTGAAATAATCATGTGGTTTTTGTCTTTGGTTCTGTTTATATGCTGGATTATGTTTATTGATTTGTGTATGTTGAACCAGCCTTGCATCCCAGGGATGAAGCCCACTTGATCATGGTGGATAAGCTTTTTGATGTGCTGCTGGATTCGGTTTGCCAGTGTTTTATTGAGGATTTTTGCATCCATGTTCATCAGGGATATTGGTCTAAAATTCTCTTTTTTTTTGTTGTGTCTCTGCCAGGCTTTGGTATCAGGATGATGCCAACCTCATAAAATAAGTTAGGGAGGATTCCCTCTTTTTCTATTGATTGGAATAATTTCAGAAGGAATGGTACCAGCTCCTCTTTGAACCTCTGTTAGAATTTGGCTGTGAATCCATCTGGTCCTGGACTTTTTTTGGTTGGTAGGCTATTAATTATTGCCTCAATTTCAGAGCCTATTATTGATCTATTCAGGGATTCAACTTCTTCCTGGTTTAGTCTTGGGAGGGTGTATGTGTCCAGGAATTTATCCATTTCTTCTAGATTTTCTAGATTATTTGCATAGAGATGTTTATAGTATTCTCTGATGGTAGTTTGTATTTCTGTGGGATTGGTGGTGATATCCCCTTTATCATTTTTTATTGTGTCTATTTGATTCTTCTCTCTTTTCTTCTTTATTAGTCTTGCTAATGGTCTATCAATTTTGTTGATCTTTACAAAAAAAACAGCTGCTGGATTCATTGATTTTTTGAAGGGTTTTTTGTGTCTCTATCTTCTTCAGTTCTGCTCTAATCTTAGTTATTTCTTGTCTCCTGCTAGCTTTTGAATGTGTTTGCTCTTGCTTCTCCAGTTCTTTTAATTGTGATGTTAGGCTGTCGATTTTAGATCTTTCCTGCTTTTTCTTGCAGGCATTTAGTGCTACAAATTTCCCTCTACACACTGCTTTAAATGTGTCCCAGAGATTCTGGTATGTTGTGTCTTTGTTCTCATTGGTTTCAAAGAACATCTTTATTTCTACCTTCATTTCGTTATGTACCCAGTAGTCATTCAGGAGCAGGTTGTTCAGTTTCCATGTAGTTCAGTGGTTTTGAGTGAGTTTCTTAATCCTGAGTTCTAATTTGATTGCACTGTGGTCTGAGAGACAGTTTGTTATAATTTCTATTCTTTTACATTTGCTGAGGAGTGCTTTACTTCCAACTATGTGGTCAATTTTGGAATAAGTGCGATATGGTGCTGAGAAGAAGGTATTTTCTGTTGATTTGGGGTGGAGAGTTCTGTCGATGTCTATTAAGTCTGCCTGGTGCAGAGCTGAGTTCAAGTCCTGGATATCCTTGTTAACTTTCTGTCTCGTTGATCTGTCTAATGTTGACAGTGGGGTGTTAAAGTCTCCCATTATTATTGTGTGGGAGTCTAAGTCTTTTTGTAGTTCTCTAAGGACTTGCTTTATGAATCTGGGTGCTCCTGTATTGGGTGCATATATATTTAGGATAGTTAGCTCTTCTTGTTGAATTGATTCCTTTACCATTACGTAATGGCCTTCTTTGTCTCTTTTGATCTTTGTTGGTTTAAAGTCTGTTTTATCAGAGACTAGGATTGCAACCCCTGCTTTTTTTGTTTTCCATTTGCCTGGTAGATCTTCCTCCATTCCTTTATTTTGAGCCTATGTGTGTCTCTGCACGTGAGATGGGTTTCCTGAATACAGCACACTGATGGGTCTTGACTCTTTATCCAATTTGCCAGTCTGTGTCTTCTAATTGGGGCATTTAGCCCATTTACATTTAAGGTTAATATTGTTATGTGTGAATTTGACCCTATCGTTATGATGTTAGCTGGTTATTTTGCCCGTTAGTTGCAGTTTCTTCCTAGCATCGATAGTCTTTACAATTTGGCATATTTTTGCAGTGGCTGGTACTGGTTGTTCCTTTCCATGTTAGTGCTTCCTTCAGGAGCTCTTGTAAGGCAGGCCTGGTGGTGACAAAACCTCTCAGCATTTGCTTGTCTGTAAAGGCTCTTATTTCTCCTTCACTTATGAAGCTTAGTTTGGCTGGTTATGAAATTCTGGGTTGAAAATTCTTTTCTTTAAGAATGTTGAATATTGGCCCCCACTCGCTTCTGGCTTGTAGAGTTTCTGCCAAGAGATCCACTGTTAGTCTGATGGGCTTCCCTTTGTGGGTAACCTGATCTTTCTCTCTGGCTGCCCTTAACATTTTTTCCCTCATTTCAACCTTATTGAATCTGACAATTATGTGTCTTTGGGTTGCTCTTCTTGAGGAGTATCTTTGTGGCGTTCTCTGTATTTCACGAATTTGAATGTTGGCCTGCCTTGCTAGGTTGGGGAAGTTCTCCTGGATAATATCCTGAAAAGTGTTTTCCAACTTGGTTCCATTCTCTCTGTCATTTTCAGGTACACCAATCAAATGTAGATTTGGTCTTTTCACATAGTCCCATATTTCTTGGAGGCTTTGTTCATTTCTTTTTACTCTTTTTTCTCTCAACTTCTCTGCTTGCTTCATTTCATTCATTTGATCTTCAATCACCGATACCCTTTCTTCCACTTGATCGAATTGGTTACTGAAGCTTGTGCATGCGTCATGTAGTTCTCATGCCATGGTTTTCAGCTCCATCAGGTCATTTAAGTTCTTCTCTATGCTGTTTATTTTAGCTAACTATTCATCTAATCTTTTTTCAAGGTTTTTAGCTTCCTTGCGATGGGTTCGAACATCCTCCTTTAGCTCAGAGAAGTTTGTTATTACCAATCTTCTGAAGTCTACTTCTGTCAACTTGTCAAAGTCATTCTCCATCCAGCTTTGTTCCCTTGCTAGGGAGGAGTTGCGATCCTTTGGAGGAGAACAGGTGCTCTGATTTTTAGAATTTTTAGCTTTTCTGCTCTGGTTTCTCCCCATCTTTGTGGTTTTATCTACCTTTGGTCTTTGATGATGGTGACCTACAGATGGGGTTTTGGTGTAGATGTCCCTTTTGTTGATGTTATTCCTTCTGTTTGTTAGTTTTCATTCTAACAGTTGGGACCCTCAGCTGCAGGTCTATTGGAGTTTGCTGGAGGTCCACTCCAGACCCTGTTTGCCTGGGTAACACTAGCAGAGGCTTCAGAACAGCAAATATTGCAGAACAGCAAATGTTGCTGCCTGATCCTTCCTCTGGAAGTTTCGTCTCAGAGGGGCACCCAGCCGTATGAGGTGTCATTCGGTCCCTACTGGGAGGTGTCTCCCAGTTAGGCTACTCAGAGGTCAGCGACCCACTTGAGGAGGCACTCTGTCCGTTCTCAGATCTCAAACTCCATGCTGGCAGAACCACTGCTCTCTTCAAAGCTGTCAGACTGGGACATTTAAGTCTGCAGAAGTTTCTGCTGCCTTTTGTTCAGCTATGCCCTGCCCCCAGAGGTGGAGTCTACAGAGGCAGGCAGGCCTTGTTGAGCTGCAGTGGGCTCCACCTAGTTTGAGCTTCCTGCCACTTTGTTTACCTAGTCAAGCCTCAGCAATGGCAGACGCCCCTCCCCCAGCCTCACTGTCACCTCCCAGTTCAATTTTGGACTGCTGTGCTAGCAGTAAGCAATGCTCCATGGGTGTGAGACCCACTGAGCCAGGCATGGGATATAATCTCCTGGTGTGCCATTCACTACAACTGTTGGAAAAGCACAGTATTAGGGTGGGAGTGTCCCGATTTTCCAGGTACCATCTCTCATGGCTTCCCTTGGCTAGGAAAGGGAATTCTCCGAGCCCTTGTGCTTCCCTGGTGAGGCAATGCCTTGCCCTGCTTCAGCTCACATTCTGTGGGCAGCTCCCACTGTGTGACAAGTCCCAATGAGATGAACCCAGTACCTCAGTTGGAAATGCAGAAATCACCCATCTTCTGCACCGCTCACGCTGGGAGCTGTAGACTGGAGCTGTTCCTATTTGGCTATCTTGGAACGATCTCCCCTGGGATAATTTTTCATGACCAAAAAGGATTCTGGTAATGTGCCAGGATCTTCTCACTGTTATGATTCTTCTGGTATAGGAGATCTGTGATTGGCCAGGCACAGTGGCTCAGACTTGTAATTCCATCAGTTTCGGAGGCCATGGTAAGAGGATTGTTTAAGGCCAGGAGTTTGAGACCAACCGGGGCAAAATAGTGAGACCCCATTCCTACAAAATCTTTAAAAAATTAGTTGGGCATGCTGGTGTGTACCTGTAATGCTATTGCTCAGGAGGCTGAGGCAGGAGGATCACTTGAGCTCAGGAATTCAAGGTTACAATGAGCTATGATTGTGCCACTGCATTCTACCCTGGGCAACAGAGCAAGACCTTGTCTCTGAAATAAATAAATATTATAAAAAGAGATAATGTGGTCAAAGACCAGGGTGTGATCTGTGGCCCAATCAAAATATCTGGTCTTTTTCCCTGTTTCCTGACAAGCAGGTTCCAAAACATTTGCAATCTCCTCAGTGATAAGTATGACTTTAATATGCCAATGAGATGACTATGGGGTGAGAGGCTCCTAAATAGCTTCAGGATGGGGGCTGGTTGCCAGAAACACGAAGCTGTGATTAGAGGATTGGAAATTTCAGCACTATCCCTTAACTCTGAGAAGCAAAGGGGGCTGGAAGTTGAGTTCAGTCACCAGTGGCCATTGATTTAATTAATCTTGCCTACACAATGAAACTTCCATAGAAACCTCTAGAGATTGGGTTTTGGAGAGCTTCCCAATTGCTGAGCACATCCATGTGTCCATGTGCTGGGAGGATGGTGAACCTCATCTCCATGGGGACAGAGGCTCCTGTGCTCAGAGCCCTCCCAGACCACACCCTGTGCACCTCTTCATCTGGTTGCTCATTTGTACCCTTTATAACTGCTATGGTTTGAATGTTTCCCTAGAAAAGCATCTCTTGGATAATTTATCCTGAATGCAACATTTTTAAGAGGCGGGACCTTTGGGAGGTGATTGGACCATCAGAGCTCTGCCTCCATTAATGAATTAAGTCTGATCATAAAAGGACCTGAGGCTGTGAGTTTGACCTCTTATTCCCCCTACCTCTCACCCTCTCTTGCCCTTTTGCTTTCTACCAGGTACAGTCCTTGGTCTTGGAATTCCCATCCTCAACAACCATGAACCAAATAAATTTCTGTTCGTTTTAAGTTATCCAGTCTCAGGTGTTCTACTATAGTGGCATAATTTAAACCAAGAGTCCGTAACCCCCGGCTGTGGACTGGTACAGGTTCCTGGCTTGGCAGGAACCAGACCACACAGCAGGAGGTCACTGGTGGGTGAGAGAGCATGAGCATGACCACCTGAGCTCTGCCTCCTGTCAGATCAGTGGCGGAATTAGATTCTCATAAGAGCATGAACCCTATTGTGAACTCTGCATGTGAGGGATCTAGGTTGCATGCTCCATATGAAACAGTAATGCCTGATCATCTGAGGTGGAACAGTTTCATCCTCAATCCATTCCCCTCTATTCCCTGCCACCTCTGCTGGTCCATGGAAAAACTGTCTTCCATGAAATTGGTCCCTGGTGCCAAAAAGTTGGGACCACTGATTTAAGCTATAACAATAATAAACTACAATACTGAGTGTGAAAGAAAAATAAAATTTAGGGACGCCAAATTCACTATACCAAAGGGACAAGTTAAGTTTGGTAACTGAGTGATGGAAAAACCACCTTTCTTTTGTTCCTAAACAAATAACTGCAAAGATAGAGGAACATATATCTCCCCAGGTGGCCTCCCTCACAAATTGCTCACAAGATAATTCCTTGTGGGCCCCAACATCTTTACTCTAAAACAGAGTTTTGTTGAATTTCACCCTAACAATGTAAATTAACAGCTTATCTTCACAGGTGAAGGACAAAGACAAGACCAGAAATCATCCCTCCACTCACCTGGAGACAAATGTGTATTTGACTTCTCTACCCAACATTTACTTTGTCTTATGTAAAATGCAGATTTACTGAGCACTCGATGAAAGCATAGTTGACTGTTCCTTTTTCCTCTCCTGCCTGCTCTTTCTCCTGTAAATATTAAAGTCCTCAAAACCCTGTTAGTAAAAAGCATGGGCCACAGATGCTACAATAATTTGTGTCTCTGTTTCCAAGGTACATCTTCAGCTTGGCAAAATAAACTTCTAAATTGATTGATACCTGTCTCAGATGTTTTTTGGTTTACATGGTTATAGCAACTTCCTGAGTTCTATGAGTTAGTTTAAGAATTCCCAAACCTTGGGAGGTGAGAAACCCCTGACTTTGCAGCCATGATAGACAGAAGTGCAGGTAACCTGGAACCCGATAACTTGTGACTTGCATCTGAAGTGAGGACAGACTTGTGGGACTGAGTCCTTAAACCTGTGGAGTCTGAGGCTAACTCCAGGTAGTTAGTGTCAGAATTGAGTCAAATTCTAGGACTCCCAATTGCTGTTGGAGAATCAGAAAATTATTTGGCTGGAGGAAAACCCCATCACCATCCCACAGAGAGAAACTTACAGTATATTGGGGGAACCCACCCCCAATATTTCAACATAGGTTCTTTCTATTTTCCATAAGTGTCGGCCAGCTGAGAAATAAAGAAAGACAGTACAAAGAGAGGAATTTTACAGCTGGGCCACCAGGGGTGACATCACATATCGGTAGGACCGTGATGTCTGCCTGAGTCTCAGACCAACAAGTTTTTATTAAGGGTTTCAAAAGGGGAGGGGGTGTAAGAACAAGGAGTAGGTAAAAAGTCACATGCTTCTGAGTGCAAAAAGCAGAACTACTAATAAGAGTCTAACAAAGATCACATGCTTCTGAGGGAACAAGACAAAGGGCAAAAGCAGAACCACTGATAAGGGTCTATGTTTAGCAGTGCACGTATTGTCTTGATAAACATCTTAAACAACAGAAAACAGGGTTTGAGAGCAGAGAAGTGGTCAGACCACAAGTTTACCAGGGCAGAGTTTTTCCCCACCCTAGTAAGCCTGAGGGTTCTGCAGGAGACCAGGGCATATCTCAGTCCTTATCTCAACTGCATAAGACAGACATTCCCAGAGCGGCCGTTTATAGACCTCCCCCCAGGAATGAATTCCTTCTCCAGTGTATTAATATTAATATTCCTTGCTAGGAAAAGAATTTAGTGATATCTTTCCTACTTGCACGTCTGTTTATAGGCTCTGCGCAAGAAGAAAAATATGGCTGTTTTTGCCCAACCTCGCAGGCAGTCAGACCTTATGGTTGTCTTCCCTTGTTCCATAAAAATTGCTGTTATTCTATTCTTTTTCAAGGTGCACTGATTTCATATTGTTCAAACACACGTTTTACAATCAAATTGTAACACAATTATCACAGTGGTCCTAAGGTGACGTACATCCTCAGCTTATGAAGATAACAGGATTAAGAGATTAAAGTAAAGACAGGCATAAGAAATTATAAAAGTATTATTTGGGAACTGTTAAATGTCCATATTAAAATGAAATCTTCACAATTTATGTTCCTCTGCCACAGCTCCAGCCAGTCCCTCATTCGGGGTCCTTGACTTCCCGCAACAACAGTAAGAGTAAGCAAGTAAACCTCTACCTTCTTCGGTCCCAGAGGAAAAGATAAAAAAAAATTAAGCATTTATTTCATGTCCCTAAGTCTGCTAAACACAGGTTTCTACCAGCTGTTCATTGTCCAGACATGGAGTGGCCCTACCTCTAATCTAGAAGTTAGGATTTTTTAGGCCTTTGAGGGGGTCACATAAAAACTAATAAGTGTCAGAGATTCTCTCCCCAGAAATATTTCCACACACAAGAAAATATAAATATTAATATAAAACATCAGTGTGCAACCAGATCCTCTGAGATCTTATAAACCTGGGTGTTTTAATCCCAGTAAGAGACAATGCCAAGGGAAGATGTGTGAATAATCATTTCACCATCACACCATGCCACTCCAATAATCTGGAGTATGAACTGGGATAGACAAAAACTTGATGTAATAACTTATTTTCAAGGGAATGGGTGGAAAGATGTTATTTATTAGTCACCAGTTCATTCAGACACTCTGAATCCCTACCAGATACTAGATAAATTTCTTGTCTTGGAGCACTGCTCCAATAATTAAAATTTATCATTCTTTTCCCATCCTTCACACTCCAGCACTTGAACCCTCTTACTACATCAGAATTCCACACTGTCAATGAAAAGAGGCAAACTTCATAAAATATTTGAAGAGATTTATTCTGAGCCAAATACGAGTGACCACAGCCCATGACACGTCCCTCAGGAGACCCTGAGAGCATGTGCTCAATGTGGTTGGGGTATGGGTTGGTTTTATACATTTTAGGAAGATATGAGACACTAATAATATATATTTAAGATATACATTGGTTCAGTCCAGAAAAGCAGAACAATTTGAAGCAAGCAAGGGTTGGGGGTTACTGCTTCTAGGTTATAGGTAGATTTTAAAATGTTCTGATTGGCAATTGGTTGAGTTATTATCAATAAAAAGCAATGTCTGGGTTATGATAAGAGGTTGTGGAGTCCAAAATTTTATCATGCAGTTGAAGCCTCCAGGTGCCAGGCTTCAGAGAGAATAGATTATAATGTTTCTGATCAGACTTAAGGTCTGTGTTGATGTTAATTGCTGGTCAGCTTTTCCTGAATTTCAAAAGGGAAGAGGCCATAATGAGGCATGTTCAACACCTGCTTCCCATGGTGGCCTGAGCCAGTCTTTCAAGTTAATTTTTGAGCGCCCTGGCTGAGGAGGGTGTCCATTAAGATGGTTGGGAGAGGGTGGGTTTGAAGTTTATTTTCGGTTTACAACATGTAAAGTGTTAAGAGGAGATAGAAACCACCCCCATCCCTAGAAGAGCACAACACTCCAGTCACCCCTGCAGTTGATAATGGACATGAGTCTTAAACTCCATCAGTCAGATGACCACCTGCTGAAGCAGCATTGTTGTCTCAGGTAAATACTCAGGGTTCATTGTATCTCACCAAGAAGATTAAGGACAGTGACACACAAGGAGTGAGTTTATTGGCCGGTGCTATGTTGTCTGCTCTTTACTGAACACATGGCTGGCAAAAAGAAGGGAAGATGGAGCCATCATTGTGAACACGCCTAGTCCCAGATGTCCTTTTCCTATTGGCACAGCTGCCAGCATTCACTCGTGCAAGCTTCCAGCTTGCTTGTCTATGTCTGAAGCTTGATTTTACAGGCTGGTCTTTGTCAGAAAAGAAAACGATTTGGGGCCTGCTTTCCATTAAAAAGAAAACCTTACTGAGACTTCTGTACCCTCACTACCTGCCTAAATAATTTCTTCTTAAATCCTATATCACTGCCAGACTCTGAGCTAGAATGAGGTGACACAGAAAGGCTGGGATTGTGCAGAATGCATTTTAGTAAACATGGCTGAGTGTCAGTAGTGATGTCCAGTTGCCAGGGGCAGCAGTGACATCTATCCTAGCCTTGGGGTCCAGTGTCCAGCACCAGGATGTCAGAGGTATGAGCAGTGGTGTCTGTGCTCAGCAGCAGGGGCAGTTGTTCCTAGGAGGGACCTGATCCAGGGGCGTGGGCTATGGATTCTTTTCTGGGATGTGTAGTTTTCAGCCTGGTTCTGTGGCCTTCCCCACAATAAAATTAACCCCCAATACCAGGTATACTACTTTATGTATAAATTACAGAAATTTGTTTTCCATAGTTTTCTCCAAGAGGTGAGTGAGAAATGAATCTATGGACCAGGGTCAGAGAGCAGCATTCGGAGGTGTTCCTTGTGTGACAGCCACATCCTGAATTGTCTACCTGGCCTCTACCTCATGGTGGAGAGATCAACAGGGATTATCACATCTCTTAACTGATGATATACATCCTCCCTTTCCTTTCTGCAAGAAAAATCCTCTTTTAAACAGGGTTTGAAAACCCACCCACCCACCCTGGGCACTCTCTGATCTCTGAGGTTCCTGATCTGGCTGAGCAACAAGATTTCTGGTGGAGGCTTAGAAAATACTCAGGCCACTCCTCAGAACCCCTGTCTCACAATATTATGCACAAGACCAAGGAATCATTTACATAACAAGCCCTACAGGCGAGGCCGATGCAGACGTGGGGTCCTGGTGTTCTGGCTACTCCAAGTGTGATCTGGAGACCAGCAATGTGAGCTCCAGCCTTGTCATAAATCCAGAATCCCTTGCTCGACTCCAGACTTCCTGGATCTCAGCACCACATCCAGGTGATCCTGGTGCACACGGGAGTTCCTTGTCTAAGCGTCCTCTAGACGTGGGGCCAGAACTGTGCAGTCTGCTCTGTGGTCTGATCAGATCCCTTAGAACTGGAGGTCCAGGGTTCAGTCCTTGCGCTGATTCTTTTCCACAGTCAATCACTCCCTTGGTGCTTCATCCATGCTTGAGGTTTTAAGTATTGTTTATGTGGTGTGAGCTCCTAAATCTATTTCTCCAGCCCAGTCCTTTCCCCTGAACTGTGGAGTTGTCTGCCCAGCTGCCACCCCAGCTCCCCCACCTGCATTCCTAGTAGACATCTCCTCCACTGAGTGCCTGTGATGCCCCCTCCTCAGGATGCTCCTGCCAGAGTCTCCCCATCTCCACTGACAGCAGCTCCACCCTTCCTTCTACTCACTCATTTTACAACTATGGGTGTCCTTGATTCGTCTTTCTCACACCACAGATACAATCCATTGGCAAATGCTGTGAGTCCATCTTCAAATGCATCCAGAATCCCCTCACGTCCCACTATTTCCTGTGCTCACACCCCAGACATCTCCAGCCTGGAATACTGCACTCGATTCCTACTGTTTTCCCTTCTGCCTCCCTCATCCCTCACCTCTCAATTCTGTTCTCAGCACAGCCATCAGAGATCCTTTTAAGAAAGAAGTCATATCATGGCTCTCTTCTGCTCCAAACTGTCCTCTAACTCCCCCATCCCACTCAGAGCAGAGGTCAGACGCAACCCCACTCCCCTCAAGCCCACCTGCTCTGGCCATACCTCTGACCTCATCTAGTTTCTCTGTCCAGCCCTCCTGGCCTCCTTGCTCTTCTGGGAACACAGACACCTTCCTGCCCTAGTGCATTTGGACTGGAGTTTCCTTGCCTAGAAAGAACTTCCCCAGACATCCTCATGTCCCTCAAATCTTTCCTCAAAGGTCATCTTTGCAACAAGCCACACATTGACAACTCCTGTCCAACAGCCACCTTCCCTGTCCCCACTGCCCATACCCGGATCACCTGCCTCATGGCACTTACCACCTTCCATCACTTTCTTTTCTTACTGTGGTTATAGTGTATGTATCGTCTGCCTCTTACCACTGAAGCATATGCTCAGATATTTTTCCGATTTTACTTCAATGGTGTTCCCCAGATGCAGAACTTTTCTGTCCTGTGTCTGGCTGACAACAAAGGTCAGTTGAATGATCAGTGTAGAGCACCTCCTATTCTAAAGCCAGTATCTTTATTAACATAGCCTCAGGCCAAGTGCTGTTTTGTGGCAGCTGCAGCACAAGGTCCCCTCACACTGACACCGAGGCCGCCTGTACTTTTCTCAGCAGGGCTGCTTGTGTGTCCTCCCTCCCCTATCCCTCCTCCCACACCAACCGCCCCGCACACTGCAGCACACAATCAGGTTTCTCTCTTCAGGAAGGAACAATTCTAGACTATGGACCCAATTTTACAAACAAATATAAATCTAAATTAGGCTCTGCTTTAGATTCATGAGTTGGGATTGGAGTCAGCACGAAGATTACTGGAATCAGGGAAGGGAGAGAGGGCAGGAGACCAAAGCAGAAGAGGAGCCCTAGAAGGAGGGCAGGAGCTGAATGGGTCTGAAAATTTGTCTCAGAAAGCACAGGGACTCCCGTGTGCAGGGGCTGCCCTGGGCGATGTGTGAGCCTCTGTGGTCACAGCTCCCGCTGGACAAGTTTCCACTGAAGGGACAAGGACAATGGAGCAGTGAAGGTGACCCAGCTGAGGACTGACCACATAAAGCCCATGAAGAACTGAACAGCAACTAGGCACAGGCCCCGTCCACACTCGTCTCCTCACAGCCTTCCCCACCCCCACCTGCAACAGACTCAGCACAGCGAACATGCGGATTCTGGAAGGTTCTCAGGTCTTTATTTGCTCTCTCAACTTCCAGGAATTGACTTATTTAATTAATCCATCAACCTCTCATAGCAAATATTTGAGAAAACAAATTTATATTCAGATTCTTATTTTCAGTAGGGAAGTAAGAAGTTGCAGCTCAGTACACGTAAAGTTGAGACAGAGATGGAGACATCCAGCCCACTTCTCTGGAACAGGAAAGATGATCGGGGAGGGAACACAGGTCAGTGTGGGGACAGGGGTCACGGTGGACACGGGGGTGGGCTGTCTCTCCACCTCCTCACATTATGCTAACAGGAACGCAGACACATTCAGATGCCTTTGCAGAAAGAGATGCCAGAGGCTCTTGAAGTCACAAAGGAAAGGTGTGAAGAAATCCTGCATCTCAGTCCCACACAGGCAGCTGTCTCAGGCTACAGAACACAATAGTCATGAACAAATTCAGGTCAGTCATGGTAAGTGATGACACTCTGAACAGCTCACCACACATTCGAAACGTCCCAATCAAAGGATCCCCATTACCTAGGCCTTTTCCCTCTGCCCCACCCCCGACCACTTCAGCTCCCCAGAATCTCACCTTTACAAGCGATGAGAGACTCATCAGAGCCCTGGGCACTGTTGCTGGCTGGGGTAGAACAAAAAAAAAGACCTGGTCAGAGCCCGCAGGAGATGTGGGACAAGAGGAATTATGGGGTGGGTGAGCTCCTCCACACGCCCACCGCCATCACTTACACGCAGCCTGAGAGCAGCTCCCTCCTTTTCCACCTGTGGGAAGAAAATGCCCTGTGAGGGGACAGGGAGGAGGCAGGGCCATGCGATCTTAGGGGAACCTCCTAGTCTTGGACCCAAGAGAAGTTTCCAGAACTATGACTGCAGACCCAGGGCAGGATCAGGAAACACGGGGAAAGCAGCTGTGGGTTCTGGAGCAACTGCCCTCCTAAGGTCTGTCCTTAGCAGGGACCTTCCCCTGACTCATGAATGCTGGAATCAAGGACCCCAACACCATAATCATCAAGGTGATACATCTGTCCTTCATTGTCATGTGCTTCACAACAGAGTAAGTGCTAGCACACAGGGTCCCAGGCTGGGATGGCCCATGTGTGGATGGTGCTTCCAGTAACGAGGTGGGGCACACTTCTACCTGGGGCTTGAAACTCCCAGTGGGACAAGAAAACCCAGACCCCACTCCTCACCCCTTCCCTACCTGAGCTCTTCCTCCTACACATCACAACAGCCATCACAGCTCCTAGGACAGCTAGGACAGCCAGGACAGCCAGGCCAGCAACGATGCCCACGATGGGGATGGTGGGCTGGGAAGATGGCCCTGGGAAAGGAGGGGAAGGTGAGGGGCCCTGACCCCCAAGCCTCAGCCCTGACCCGGCTGAAGGGCTCCAGGACTTCTGCTTTCCCTGAGAAGACACATGACCCCTCATCCCCCTCCTTACCCCATCTCAGGGTGAGGGGCTCTGGCAGCCCCTCGTGCTGCACATGGCACGTGTATCTCTGCTCTTCTCCAGAAGGCACCACCACAGCTGCCCACTTCTGGAAGGTTCCATCTCCTGCTGGCCTGGTCTCCACAAGCTCGGTGTCCTGAGTTTGGTCCTCGCCATCCCGCTGCCAGGTCAGTGTGATCTCCGCAGGGTAGAAGCCCAGGGCCCAGCACCTCAGGGTGGCCTCATGGTCAGAGACGGGATGGTGGGTCACGTGTGTCTTTGGGTGTTCTGACGGGAAGAGTCAGAAAATTCAGACACTTTGTATCTCTCTTGCGACACTCCAACAGTGCCCATGTGACCATCCTGAGAATGGACAGGACACCTGGGGTGGGGAAGGGGGCACAGAACCCAGACGCCAGCCTGGACACAGGCACCTGGGATAATCTCCTATTCATTGGAAAGTTCTAGTCTCTGAGGGAGGAACAGCGACTTCTGGTCCTGACCTGAGTGGAGGCCGAAGGACTCAGAAAAGCTGGAATCAAACCTTTAAACACATTGAGCGTGAGGCAGAGAACAAGGCCTGAGAGAAAGGTCAGCAGCCTGACCACAGCTGCTGCAGTGGTCAAAGTGGTCAAAGGGGACCCCTGATCAGTATTCCAGGGACTGTCTTCCCCTCCATTTCCTCAAGGACTTCATCCCTTAATTGTCCTAGAGAGCAGAGGGGGCCCTCAGAAGAAACTCAGGAAAACTCATCCCATTCTCCATTCAAGGGAGGGCGATATTCCAGCGCTGATCCCATTTTCCTCCCCTCCTCGTGGGAGGCCATCCCGGGAGATCTACAGGAGATGGGGAAGGCTCCCCACTGCCCCTGGTACCCGCGCGCTGCAGCGTCTTCTTCCCGTTCTCCAGGTATCTGCGGAGCCACTCCACGCACGTGCCCTCCAGGTAGGCTCTCCGCTGCTCCGCCTCACGGGCCGCCTCCCACTTGCGCTGGGTGATCTGAGCCGCCTTGTCCGCGGCGGTCCAGGAGCGCAGGTCCTCATTCAGGGCGATGTAATCCTTGCCGTCGTAGGCGAACTGGTTATACCCGCGGAGGAGGCGCCCGTCGGGCCCCAGGTCGCAGCCATACATCCTCTGGAGGGTGTGAGACCCTGGCCCCGCCCCCGTGGTCAGCCCCGTCCCCCGAGCCCCGCCCCAGCCCCGACCAACCCGCGGGGATTTTGGCCTAAACTGAAAATGAAACCGGGTAAAGGTGACTGGGGCTCTCTCCGGTCGAGGGTCTGGGCGGGTTCCGCAGCCTCGGGGTGGATCTCAGACCGGGAGACTCGGGGCGACCCGGGCCGTCCGTGGGGGATGGGGAGGGGTCGTGACCTGCGCCCCGGGCCGGGGTCACTCACCGGCCTCGCTCTGGTTGTAGTAGCCGCGCAGTTTCCGCAGGTTCACTCGGTCAGTCTGTGCCTGGCGCTTGTACTTCTGTGTCTCCCGGTCCCAATACTCCGGCCCCTCCTGCTCCACCCACGGCGCCCGCGGCTCCCCTCTTGGACTCGCGGCGTCGCTGTCGAACTGCACGAACTGCGTGTCGTCCACGTAGCCCACTGCGATGAAGCGGGGCTCTCCGCGGCCGGGCCGGGACACGGCGGTGTAGAAATACCTCATGGAGTGGGAGCCTGGGGGCGAGGAGGGGCTGAGACCCGCCCGACCCTCCTCCCTGCGCGGCTCCCCGGGTCCTGCGCCCTCGCCGGGCGGGCCCCTCGCTCCTCTCCGCAGAGGCCGTTTCCCTCCCAACCTCGCACTCACAGGCCCAGGTCTCGGTCAGGGCCAGGGCTCCCGAGAGCAGCAGGATGAGGGTTCGGGGCGCCATGACCCGCATCTCGGCGTCTGGGGAGAATCCGAGTCCGGGTGGGTGACTGGGGACTTTAGAACCGGGACTGCGGAGACGCTGATTGGCTTCTCTAGAACCCGACACCCAATGGGAGTGGGAATTGGGGACGCGTCATGAGTATTCAGGAAGAAGGACCCGACGCAGGTTGGAAGAAGAAGTGAAACTCAGGGGAGTGGAGAATCCTCAACGCGGCGCCTCCCCAGTGCAGACACGGCCCTTGGAGCCTGAGACCCTGAGAGCCCCGCCCGGGACCTGGGACTTCGTCCTGATCCCTCTTCTCCTACACCAAGCATCTTTGTCACACTGTGTGCCTGAGTCCTGGCCAAGGATCTGTCTGTGGAAACCAGGGAGAGACCCCCAGGCTGCGCCCAGCCCCTTCCCCTTCACTTCTCCTGGAATCCCCGTCCCTGAACTGGACTCCCTGCCTCCCACTCTTTGCCTTACCTTACCTCAGGTAATATTAAACTACATCCAGCAAAATAAAGGACACTTACCTCTCCCCTTGGACTCTTGTACAGGGAAACTCACCATGGGGAACTTGATGCCAGACAGTGAGCTCGCCCTGGGAATGGACGTGTAGAGTCAGGAGTTTTCTCTTTAAACCTGGTGAAGTTTTGTCTGAAAGCACCAGGTAGAGATTCTCATAGAGACCAGTTTCCTTTTTGTTTATTGATACAGTAGGTAGCACAATATTGGTAATCCCTGAATGATTAGAATTCCAATCTGTGAAAGACCTGTGTCAAAACTGCATTACAATTAAATTCTCAAAGCTCCTGTTTTACTTTCGCAGACTATGGATCTGTGACTCTGGGTTGTTGCATTTAAAGTTATCCTCATTCTCTAGCCCGAGTTTCCTTGTGTGAGTCCAGAACATCTCCTGAATACAAAGAAGCAGGGTTTGTTACTGTCTATTGCAACCGGGAGCCTGTAGTCATCACCTCAAAGTTGCGAGGGCTCAATGCAGTCCCAATGCTCTTCACCAGCGCTCCAGCACTGCCCGTTTTCCGGAACTATGCACATCTAAGCAGTGTGCATATTTTATTTGGACACTTGATATTTTTGTAACCCCTTTTTTAAAAAAAATCATAAGGAGGCCATTAGTTTTAAGGCAGTCACACAAAAGGTATTAAATACCGAATGCAAAGAACCCCCTGCCAGGCTCTTCTACTGCTTTAGAATTCTTTCCTCTGCTCCTTTCCTCACCTCCTGCTTCTCCAGCCCTTCTGTCTGCCCCTCTCATCCCTCACACCCTCTTTCCCCTTTAGTCCCCGCCACCCTGTCACTCCTGAATTGTGGCACTAACACTGTCCCTCACCTCCTGCCCATGTCTGTTCTCCCCACAGTGCTCAGCAGTCCTGCTAATGTGACTCAGGTCGTGTCATTTCTTCACTTACAATGGTTGGATTTTGGTCTACCATTTTGCTATATGTTTTCAATTTGTCTCATATCTTTTTGTTTCTGTTCCTCCTTTGCTACTTTCTTATGTGTCAAGTAAACATTTTTTAGCTTATGGTTTTAATTCTCCTAGTGGCTTTTAGCTATATTTCTTTACATTAATTTTTTATTGTTGTAAGAATTGAAACCCAATTCCTTGACTTTTCACAGTGAAATTCAGGTAATATTAAGCTGCATCCAGCAAAATAAAGGACACTTCAAATGGTGTAGTTTCACTTAAACTATCATTATGCTATTATTATTGTATATGTTACATCAATATACGTTATAAACTCAACGATACAGTGTAATACTTTTTGTTTTAGACAAGCAGTCACATATCTTCAGGAAATTAAGAAAATGGGTGTGTATGTGATATGTGTATGTGCATCATTTCTGTTGTTAATTGTTCCTTTCTGTATATCTGGGTCACCATTTAGTATCATTTCCCTTCAGCCTGAAGAACGTCCTTTAAAATTACATGTAGTACAGGACCCCTAGGAAATGAATTTTATGGGTTTGATGATCTAACAATGCCTTTATTTTTGCCTTCTTTCCTCCCCCCTCCCCCCCCCCTTTTTTTTTTGCTTATTAGGGCGTTTACGTGTACAAAAATTCACCAGTTTTAGCTGCACTTTTTGGTGGATATTGGTAATTATTTATAGTGTAACTACCACACTGCCCAGTAGAGAAACACCAAATGCAAAGATCCTCCTACTAGGCCCCTCCACTGCTTTAGAGTCCTTTCCCCTGCTCCTTCTCCTCTCCTCCTGCTTCCCCAGCCCTTCTCTCTGCCCCTTATCCCTCAGACCTTCTTCTCCCCTTACTTCCCCCTCCCAGTCACTCCTGAATTGTGGCGCTGTAGAGAACAGTTTCTTTTCCCTAAAAACTTTCTTTATGCCCCTTTCTATTTAATCCTTGCCTCCCACCCTCACCCCCTTCCCTTCATTCAACCACTGCTGTGCTTTCTGTCACTGCAATAGTGACATTTCTAGAATTTCATGGACATGCAATCATATGTTATGTAGTCTTTTGTTTGGTCTCTCCCTTAGCATAACGATGTTTGAGATGATGCCATTCATTCATTTTTGTTGCTGAGCAGCTGCCGAGTATTGTTGGAATCCCAGTTTATTCATTGGTTTCTGTGTCTCCAGTTGATAGACATGTGGATTCCTCCAGTTAGGGTTTGTTATTAATGAAGCCACTATAAATAACTGCTTACAAGTGTGGACTTACATTTTTATTTCTTTTGGATAAATACGTATTTGTGGAATTGCTGGGCCATGTGGTAATAGATGGGTAACTGTATAAGAAACTGCCATACCACTTTACAAATTGGCTGCCACATTTTTTGCATTCCTACCAGCAATATCAGACATTCCTATTTTTTCCATATTCTTGCCAGTGTTAAGACTTATCATATGTCTTTTTAACTTTATCTGCTCTAGGTGATGTGTGATGGTTTCTCATTGTGGTTTTAACTTGCACTTCTTTGATGACTAGTATTGTTTGCTATCTTTTCATGTTCATCTAAGCGACTTATTACATATATTTTATGAACTATTTTGCAAATTCAATGATTAATTCCAGAGACTTTTTCAGAATTCCCTAGTGTTTTCTACATATACAATGAAGTTGGTGACAAAGAAAGACTTTCATTTCTTCCTTTCTTATCCATTGATCTTTTTTCTTTTAAAATTATTATTATTTGGTAGAGATGAGGTCTCACTTATCAGGCTGGTCTCAAACTCCTGATCTCAAGTGATCCTCCCACCTCAGCCTCCCAAAATGCAGGGATTACAGGCATGAGCCACCATGCCTGGTCCTTGTTGCACTGGTTAGGATGACTGTTAGGTGTTTAAACAAGAATGATGAGAGCTCACATGTTTGTTTACAAGGAACTTAAACAAATTTACAAGAAAAAAACCCATCCCCATCAAAAAGTGGGCAAAGGATATAAACAGACACTTCTCAGAGGAAGACATTTACGTGGCCAAGAAACATATGAAAAAAAGCTCACACACGTATATGAAACGTGACTGTTTATAATCCTATCCAAAAAAGAACTGATTTCAAGCAACAGCAGTATTACTTCCATTCAATACTTGGACCTGCAAACATCAAAAAAGCCACTGGAGAAACTGAACGACTCTCTGAAAGCCTTAAACTAAGATATGAAGAAGTTGAAATCTGGAAAAAACTTGAGGAAAAGGACAGGCAGGGGGAAGCACAGTGGCTACAACAAAAAAGGCAGGAAACAGGAAGAGAGGATGGCAGCATGTTGGCTAAAGGTTCTTTGGAGATTGTATTGGATTCCAAAGACAAAACCCAAAAGAGCAATGGTGAAAAGAATGAAAAATGTGAGACCAAAGAGAAAGGAGCAATCACAGCAAAGGAACTATACACAATGATGATGGATAAAAACATCAGCTTGATTATAATGGATGCTCAAAGAATGCAGGATTATCAGGATTCCTGTATTTTACATTCTCTCAGTGTTCCTGAAAAAGCCATCAGTCCAGGAGTCACTGCTAGCTGGATTGAAGCACACCTCCCAGATGATTCTATAGATACATGGAAGAAGAGGGGGAATGTGGAGTATATGGTACTTCTTGACTGGTTTAGTTCTGCAAAAGATTTACAGATTGGAACAACACTCTGGCATCTGAAAGATGCACTTTTCAAGTGGGAAAGTAAAACTGTCCTGTGCAATGGGCCTTGGGCCTTTGGTTTTAGAGGGAGGCTATAAAAACTGGTTCCTTTGCTATTCCCAGTATACAACAAATGCTAAGGTCACTCCACCCCCACAACACCAGAATGAAGAGTTGTCTATCTCATTGGATTTTACTTATCCCTCATTGGAAGAATCAATTCCTTCTAAACCTGCTGCCGAGATGCCACCTCCACCTATAAAAGTGGATGAAGACATAGAATTGATAAGTGATCAAATAAGTGATAATGATCAAAATGAGAGGACAGGACCACTGAATATATCAATTCCAGTTGAATCAGTTGCTGCTTCTAAATCTGATGTTTCACCCATCATTCAGCCAGTGCCTAGCATAAAGAATGTTCCACAGATTGATCATACTAAAAAACTGGCAGTCAAATTGCCTGAAGAGCATATAATCAAATCTGAAAGTACAAATCATGAGCAACAGTCTCCTCAGAATGAAAAAGTTATTCCTGATTGTTCCACCAAGCCAGTAGTTTCCTCTCCAACTCTCATGTTAACAGATGAAGAAAAGGCTCATATTCATGCAGAAACTGCTCTTCTAATGGAGAAAAACAAACAAGAAAAAGAACTTCAGGAAAGACAGCAAGGGAAACAGAAAGAAACTGAGGAGGGAAGAACACGAGCAAAAAGCCAAAAAGAAACAAGAAGCTGAAGAAAATGAAATTACACAGAAGCAACAAAAAGCAAAAGAAGAAATGGAGAAGAAAGAACGTGAACAGGCCAAGAAAGAGGATAAAGAAATCTCAGCAAAGAAGGGCAAAGAAATAACAAGAGTAAAAAGACAAAGTAAAAGTGATCATGAAACCTCTGGTGCCGAGAAGTCTGTAGAGGACAGGGGGAGAAGATGTTCAACCCCAGAAGTACAGAAAAAGTCAACAAGAGATGTGTCCCATACATCTGCGACAGGGGATTCAGGTTCAGGCAAGCCTTTTAAGATTAAAGGACAACCAGAAACTGGAATTCTAAGGACAGAAACTTTTAGAGAGGATACAGATGATACTTAAAGAAATAAAACTCAACGAGAACCTTCGATAATAGCACGAAGTGAAGAAATGGGGAGGATGGTACCAGGACTGCCTTCAGGCTGGGCCAAGTTTCTTGATCCAATCACTGGAACGTTTCATTATTATCATTCACCACTAACACTGTTCATATGTACCCACTGGAAATGGCTCCTTCATCTGCACCTCCTTCCACCCCTCCAACTCATAAAGGCAAGCCACAGATTCCTGCTAAGCAGGATAGGGAACCTTCCAAACTGAAATGCTCTTACTCCTCCCCAGATATAACCCAGGCTATTCAAGAGGAAGCCAGCAGTAACTCCAACAGTTAATCAGGAAGACAAGCCAACATGCTACCCTAAAGCTGAGATCTCAAGGCTTTCTGCTTCTCAGATTTGGAAACTCAATCCTGTTTTTGGAGGTTCTGGACCAGCTCTTACTGGACTTCGTAACTTAGGAAATACTTGTTATATGAACTCAATATTGCAGTGCCTATGTAATCCTCCACATTTGGCTGATTATTTCAACCGAAACTGTTATCAGGATGATATTAACAAGTCAAATTTGTTAGGGGCATAAAGGTGAAGTGGCAGAAGAATTTGGTATAATCATGAAAGCCCCGTGGACAGGACAGTATAGATATATCAGTCCAAAAGACCTTAAAGTCACCATTGGGAAGATCAATTACCAGTTTGCAGGATACAGTCAAGATTCACAAGAATTTCTTCTGTTCCTAATGGATGGTCTCCATGAAGATCTAAATAAAACTGATAATCGGAAGACATATAAAGAAGAAAATAATGATCATCTCAATGACTTTAAAGCTGCAGAACATGCCTGGCAGAAACACAAGCGGCTCTATGAGTCTATTATTGTTGCACTTTTTCAGGGTCAATTCAAATCTACAGTACAGTGCCTCACCCGTCACAAAAAGTCTAGGACACTTGAGGCCTTCATGTATTTGTCTCTACTGATAGCATCCACAAGTAAATGTACATTATAGGATTGCCTTAGATTATTTTCTAAAGAAGAAAAACTCATAGATAATAACAGATTTTACTGCAATCTTTGCAGAGCTCGACGGGATTCTTAAAAAAGAAATCTGGAAGTTACCACCTGTGCTTTTAGTGCATCTGAAACATTTTTCCTACAATGGCAGGTGGAAACAAAAATTACAGACATCTGTGGACTTCCCGTTAGAAAATCTTGCCTTGTCACAGTATGTTATTGGTCCAAAGAACAATTTGAAGAAATATAATTTGTTTTCTGTTTCAGATCACTGCGGTGGGCTGGATGGAGGCCATTACACAGCCTACTGTAAAAATGCAGCAAAACAGCGGTGGTTTAAGTTTGATGATCATGAAGTTTCTGATATCTCTGTTTCTTC
This sequence comes from Homo sapiens, assembly GCF_000001405.40. Lineage (NCBI taxonomy): Eukaryota > Metazoa > Chordata > Mammalia > Primates > Hominidae > Homo > Homo sapiens. Next base: position 2,580,591 of record NT_167249.2, read on the forward strand.
TGTGAAATCTTCAGCAGCTTATATCCTCTTTTATACTTCTTTGGGACCATGAGTAACTGATGTAGGCACATAAGGAGACATAGGTTATAAACTAGTTATCTTTTAAAAGGCTCAGCAACACAATTCTTGAAATGCTTATCAAGATAATGGTAGCAATAGCTGGCCATTTAGAGGAATTCTAGGACAGTGGGAGCTGTGTTACTAGCACTATATAATTCCTGTCAGTGGTGACAAATAACACTTAACAAGTATTGCAGTAAGCATCACTTACAGGTACCATTTATTTCAAAACAACTTTTTTAGTCTGCTCCAAAGTTAAAATAATTAACTAGCTAAGCATTATTATTCTACTGGTCTAAAAACCTTTGTACCCTTTTTTTCCTTTTCACTGTTACAGCCTTTTCACATTTCTAAATCCCATCTTCATATACTATGAATACTCTAGAATGATGTGAAGCAGATAGGAATGTATGTGTACATATTTATTGCATACTTACACATCAAATCGATATACATAGTTTAACATGTGGTCCTTTCGTGAAACTTAGAACTCAGAGGATTGCATTTTTTTCTTTGAGCATATTTTGAGTAACTGCAGTGCTTTCTTAGGGAAATGACAGGGCAAAGCTATTTTTCTGTTGGCTTTGGGGGCATTTGGGTGCGCTAAATCTTTATCTTAAAAAATAAATGGAAACTTCCTTTAATTTTTTAAAATGAGACATTAAAATCTTAATGAGAAAAATTTAAAAAGCTCAATATCACTGCTCATTAGAGAAATGTAAATCAAAGCCACAATGAGATACCATCTCCCACCAGTCAGAATGGTAATTATTAAAAAGTCAAGAAACAATAGATGCTGGTGAGGCTGTGGAGAAATAGGAACACTTTTACACTGTTGTTGGGAATGTAAACTAGTTCAACCATTGTGGAAGACAGTGTGGCCATTCCTCAGAGATCTAGAACCAGAAATACTATTTGACCCTTTGGGTATCTACCCAAAGGAATATAAATCATTCTACTATAAAGACACATGCACACGTATGTTTACTGCAGCACTATTTACAATAGCAAAGACTTGGAACCAACCCAAATGTCCATCAGTGATAGATGGATAAAGAAAATGTGGTGCATACCACCATGGAATAGTACACAGCCAGAAAAAGGAATGAGTTCATGTCCTTTGCAGGGACATGGATGAAGCTGGAAGTCATCATCCTCAGCAAACTAACACGGGAACAGAAAACAAAGCACCTCATGTTCTCATTCCTAAGTGAGAGTTGAACAATGACAACACATGGACACAGGGAGGGGAACAACACATATCAGGGCCTTTTGGGGAGTGTGGGGGGCAAGGGACGAGAACTTAGAGGATGGGTCAATAGGTGCAGCAAACCACCATGGCAGACTATACGCATGTAACAAACCTGCAGGTTCTGCACATGTATCCTGGAACCTAAAGTAAAATAAAACAAAGCAAATTAAAAAAAGAAAGCCCATGTCTTACATGTATGCATATGTTCATTGCAGCACTATTCACAATAGCAAAGACATGGAATCAACCTAAATGTCCATCAATGGTAGACTGGATAAAGAAAATGTGGCAAATATGCTCTACCGGCAGGATTTGATGGCGTGATGTCTCACAGAAAGTTCTCCACTCCCAGACATGGGTCCCTCGGCTTCCTGCCTTGGAAGCACAGCAGCAGGCATCATGGGAAGGTGAAGAGCTTCCCTAAGGATGACCCATCCAAGCCGGTCCACCTCACAGCCTTCCTGGGATACAAGGCTGGCATGACCCACATCGTGCGGGAAGTCGACAGGCCAGGATCCAAGGTGAACAAGAAGGAGGTGGTGGAGGCTGTGACCATTGTGGAGAGGCCACCAGTGGGCATTGTGGGCTGCGTGGAAACCCCTCAAGGCTTCCGGACTTGCAAGACTGTCTTCGCTGAGCACATCAGTGATGAATGCAAGAGGCGTTTCTATAAGAACTGGCATAAATCTAAGAAGAAGGCCTTTACCAAGTACTGCAAGAAATGGCAGGATGAGGATGGCAAGAAGCAGCTGGAGAAGGACTTCAGCAGCATGAAGAAGTACTGCCAAGTCATCTGCGTCATTGCCCACACCCAGATGCACCTGCTTCCTCTGTGCCAGAAGAAGGCCCACCTGATGGAGATCCAGGTGAATGGAGGCACTGTGGCTGAGAAGCTGGACTGGGCTGGCGAGAGGCTCAAGCACCAGGTACCTGTGAACCAAGTGTTTGGGCAGGATGAGATGATCGACGTCATCAGGGTGACCAAGGGCAAAGGCTACAAAAGGGTCACCAGTCATTGGCACACCAAGAAGCTGCCCCGCAAGACCCACCAAGGCCTGTGCAAGGTGGCCTGTATTGGGGCATGGCATCCTGCTCGTGTGGGCTTCTCTGTGGTACGTGGTGGGCAGAAAGGCTACCATCACCGCACTGAGATCAACAAGATCTATAGGATTGGCTAGGGCTACCTTATCAAGGATGGCAAGCTGATCAAGAACAATGCCTCCACTGACTATGACCTGTCTGACAAGAGCATCAACCCTTTGGGTGGCTTCGTCCACTATGGTGAAGTGACCAATGACTTTGTCATGCTGAAAGGCTGTGTGGTGGGAACCAAGAAGTGGGTGCTCACCCTCCACAAGTCCTTGCTGGTGCAGACAAAGCAGCGGGCTCTGGAGAAGATTGACCTTAAGTTCATTGACACCTCCTCCAAGTTTGGCCATGGCCGCTTCCAGACCACGGAGGAGAAGAAAGCATTCATGGGACCACTCAAGAAAGACCGAATTGCAAAGGAAGAAGGAGCTTAATGCTGGGAACAGATATTGCAACTGGTGGGATCTCAATAAAAGTTATTTTCCATTAAAAAAAAAAGAAAAAGAAAATGTGGCACATATACACCACAGAATACCATGCAGCCATAAAAAAGAATGAGATCATGTCCTTTGCAGGAACATGGATGGAGTTGGAGGCCATTATCCTTAGCAAACTGAGGCAGGAACAGAAAACCAATTACCACATGTTCTCACTTATAAGTAGGAGTTATATGATGAGAACACATGGACACGCAGAAGGGAACAACACACACTGGGGTCCACTTGAGGGTAGAGGGTGGGAGGAGGGAGAGGATCAGGAAAAATAGCTAATGGGTACTAAGGCTTAATACTTGGGTGGGTACTAATGGGTACAGAAATAATCTGTACAATAAAACCGCATGACACAAGTTTACCTATATAACAAACCTGCACATGTACTCCTTAACTAAAAATAAAAGTTAAATTAAAAAAAAAAGAAACAAAGAAACTGCATATCTGGAAAGAGCATATGGTTGGGTTCTGTGTTTTGTTTTGTTTTTTAACCAATTCACACAATCTCTGCCCTTCATTGGAGTGTTGATTCATATAGGTTTTTTTTTCATTATTGATAAGTTTTAGGTCTACCATGTTATTTCCTCAGTTTTGGTTTCTCTGTTCCTCTTGTCCTGACCAACGACTTCTTATTAGAAACCATAGAAACAAAAGAAAGTAGAATAACACCTTTAAAGTGCTGGAAGAAAAAAAGGACAACTAAGAATTCTATATCCAGCACAGATGTCCTTCAAGGACAGGCAAAATAAGGAGATGTTTCAGGTAAAAGAAAATTAAGAGAATTTGTCACCAGCAGATCTGCACAATAACAATTGGTAAAGAAAATTCTTCAGGCTAAAGACAAATGATACCAGGTGGGAAATGAGGTTATCAGAAAAGATGAAGATCACTTTGGGAGGCCGAGGCGGGCGGATCACGAGGTCAGGAGATCGAGACCATCCTGGCTAACACAGTGAAACCCCGTCTCTACTAAAAAACACACAAAAAAAATTAGCCGGGCGTGGTGGCGGGCGCCTGTAGTCCCAGCTGCGCGGGAGGCTGAGGCAGGAGAATGGCGTGAACCCGGGAGGCGGAGCTTGCAGTGAGCCGAGATCGCGCCACTGCACTCCAGCCTGGGCGACAGAGCGAGACTCCGTCTCAAAAAAAAAAAAAAAAAAAAAAAAAAGAAAAGATGAAGATGATCAAAAATGGTAAATACTGAGCTAAGTGCAAAAGGCTATCTTGTTCCCCTCATTTACTCTAATTTATATACATAGAACTGTTTAAAGATAAGAAGAAGTTTTTTTCTTGTGGGACTTATAACCTATATAGATATATTACATATAATATCTGTACCATAAAGATGGACATTTTATAGAGGATAAATGGTTGCAAGATTTCTCTATTTATGGGTACTAGTACATTTTTAACTGAAAGTGGACTGTGAAATGTTAAGAAGAGTTAAGTTCTGAAGGAAATTGAGACACAAAAACCATTCAAAAGATTAACAAATCTCATGATGGTTTTTTGAAAAAAACAAAACAAAACAAAATAAAAACTAAACAAAAATAAAACCCTAGCCAGTCTTGAGTCTCATCATCCTACGATTTCAGAACTATTGTGAATACAAAAGTAATCAAAGAACAGTCCTGCCCAGAAAGAGGAGTTATCCCTAAATATGGTGTCCCTGGAACAGGTGGCTCTCCCTGCTGGACCTCTTCCACGTGGGTGCTTTCTGCAGTGACTTTGTTGCCTTGCTATTCCACTTTACCCAGTGTCCTGACCCAAGAGACAAGGGGTGTCTGCTGCTGTGTCCACACTTGGAGAAAGAAACCTTGATAGTGTCAGTACATTACAAGCTGGGCATGACAGCTCACGCCTGTAATCCCAGCAATTCAGGATGCTAAGGCAAGAGGATTGCTTGAGATCAGGAATTGGAGACCAGCCTGGACAACATAGTGGGACCCTCGTCTCTAAAAAAAATAAAAATCAGTAAACGGCTGGGCCTGGTGGTGGGCGCTTGTATTTCCAGGTATTGTGGAGGCTGAGGTGGGAAGATCCCTTGAGCTCATAAATACAAGGCTGCATTGAGCTACGATCCCACCACTGGGCTCCAGCCCAGGCCAGAGTGAGGTCTTGACTCAAAAAAATACATTGTAAGCCTTTGCTCACTATGGGTTATTTATTATTTATTCAATGTGTATTTTGATTTTATTTTACTGGCAGCACAATAAACCAGGACATGCTGAAACTAGAAATCACATCCACTTTCCAGTGTTAAAAAGCCCAGTCTAGGGAGGTGAGAAGGAGACAGTCCTCATTAGCGTTGAGGATTCAGGGAGATCGAGATGGGCTGGGCAGGAAGGTTCTTACTTGAAACCTGGAGGATGAGCAATGACATTCCTCTCTCCACCTTAAAGCTCATCCTGGGCATCCGCCTCCTGGGAGCAGGAGCACTGCAAGCTCCGCCTCCCGGGTTCACGCCATTCTGGCTCAGCCTCCCGAGTAGCTGGGACAACAGGTGCCCGCCACCATGCCCGGCTAATGTTTTGTATTTTTTAGTAGAGACGGGGTTTCACCATGTTAGCCAGGATGGTCTCAATCTCCTGACCTCGTGATCTGCCCACCTCGACCTCCCAAAGTCCTGGGATTACAGGCGTGAGCCACCGCACCCGGCCTCTCCTTGGGATTTCTTTACTGGACACCAGCCTGAGTCAACTTTCCTGTAAAGCAAAAGAAGCGTGAGGTTGCTAAAGGAGGAATGGTGTGATCTCCACCTTTGGCGAGATCCCTGTCACCGTGTTCAGGCGAAGGGCCAGGCCTTACTCCCCATGCAGAGAGGAGGCTATGGCCGTGAAGACGCCTGTGGAGAAGTGAGGACCCGCTCCCTCTACACTGATGGCCAAGAGCCTACAGATGGCGGAGAAGGCTTCCCTTCAGCTGTGTCCTATCAGGTTCTTCCAGGAGTCAAGGAGTAGACCTGCATGTTACCTCTGGTGATGTAAGCTGCATGCACACCTAGAAGTGAGGTCACCCCTGCTGGGGGTCCTGGGGCTGCTGGTTGTTCTGGGTGCTCAGTGTCCAGAAAAGAAGATGGGGAGGAGGCTTTGTGCAAAACAGTAACCATACTCTATAAATTATTTTTTCATTAGCCTTTGTGTCATAAAATAAAATCTAGGACTCCAAAAGAAAAAACTGTCTAAAATTTGTGTCCTTTAATACAAAGTAAACACCCATTAATCACCAGGGATAGATGTTTGTGGGGCAAACCAGAAGCCCCATCATTTGCTCCAGCCCAGCAATAAACTCTTTCTTCCCTCAAATAAAAACACAACCTGACTTTTACGATCATCACTTCTTTGTTTTATTTTTATTTTTATCATCCAATATTATGATTTAGTTTTACCTTTAGAAATATGCTTTTGTTGTCTTTATTCTATAGATTCTTCCTTGAAATTTATATTGTGTGGTAGAGCTTCCCATAGTGTGCATTTTGCTGATTGCTCCCCAAGGCATAGTTTAATATGCATTTCTATTATCTGTATTGCCTCTAAATTGGTAATTGGCTATGGAGATCAGCTTCTATTCAGGCTTGGTTTCTTTTTCACTTGGACTTGTTTGATGGTGCTGTATTGTGTTCTTCCATCAAGAGGAAGAACCTCACATTAGTTTTTTCTTTTATTGTGTTGTTAATTGCCATTGCTATTCAATGGCTAAATCTGTTAATTCATGATGGGTTGCAAAAGAGTTATTATAGTCTCAGTCTCTCATTCCTTCTTCATTTATTATCTGAATAATTTCTAAGTAAGAGATTCACCCTCCTCTACTGTTTGTTTACTACTAGAAACTTGCTTTTTGAGAGACTAAGCCAATCATCTACTCACCTATGATCCAGCAATAGCACTCTTAGTTCTAAACCAATAGAAATGCATGTATGTGTGTGCCAAACTATATGAAAATATTATTCATAGCAGCACGATTTGTAAAATCTGTATACAACAAAATTGTCTATCAACAGTGAAAGGACAAGAAATGTGAGTTATTTATAAAGTGGAGCATTGGACAGCCATGGGAGTGAATAGGCTACGACCACACACAGCGAGATGATGAGACCCAGGGTCATGATGGTGACTGTATAATGCCATTCAACTAGACCTGGCAGAACTCATCTGTATTAGAAATCAAGAGTGGCTACTCTAGGGTGGGGAGGGTGGTTTATGACTGAGTAGGACCCAAAGATGCCAGCAAAGTAGGCCTCTACATTAAAAAAAAAAGAGAGAGAAAAATTAAACAGAGAAATTTAAAAGTTTATAAATAATGTTTACTTGTATTCAAGAAAATTATAGCGACAGCCGCCAGATAATGATCAGCTCTAAAAAGAGAAGCTCAAGAAGCTCATGCCACAGCAGCTGGTACAGCTGAGGAGATCAGATAAACCAGCACAAGCATGGTCATGAAAGGGAGCTGCAGACATATGGTTTCCAGAGTTTCAAAATCCATATGACTAAAATCTATGTGATGCGTATTATATGATGACTGCCTCAAGACAGACAGGTGTCCACTTAGAGACACAGAGCTGTGACTTGCAGGGGCTGGTTGATTTTCTCAGAACTCATTAACCTAAATCCATTAGTTACCATCCTGTTTCCACTCCTATCATCACCTCAGACAACCCTGCGTTTAGCTCAAGATTCTTCCCTTCATCGTAACTGAAAGTCACTAATGACTTCAATCAATTTGAAATACTATAAGTAGGTAAGATTTCCTCAGTAAGTAAATGGTCTTAGCATATTTTTGAAGTCATAACTATAATCAAAGCCTGGGACATTTATTTGTTCTAAACAAGCAGTTATTCTTCATCCAGAATTACACAATAGAAGCTCTCTTTCTTGCATTTCCCAACAGTTTGCCTTAGCCAGGAAAATAAACCCCATGGGTCTCTAGCATGACCACGGTGCAAGAATAAGGGGAAGGGCAGAGGTGAGAACTAAGTGCTCTTCTACAGCTACGGGTCTATCAAGGTAATCTTGAGAGGTACTTATCAACATGTGATGTGCCAGCAACAACATGAGGGAAGATAACCACGTGTTTCTAGGATAAGGCAAAGGCCCTGCTCATGGATTCATCCGTAATCTGAACACAGCACATGAAGAGTGAACAGCTGTCAATATCTACTTTCACCTCAATGTAAACTTTCAAAATTAAGACCAAGTGGAGCACGGTGCCCTCTGAAGCACTGTCTGTCACACACTAAGGAGCTAAGAACTCCTGTGGCCTCCTTTAGAACACAGCTCTTCCAGGACACACAATGAGCAGGCCTGCTTAGCACCCAGGGCCCACATGCAGCTGCTCTGCCCAGAGCTGCCCAGCTCCTGGACCACTCACCTCTGCTCCTGCTGGCTGGTGCCCAAGCTGTAAGGGCTGGCAAATATTTTGAGTATTGGTCCCAAAGGACCCTGAAGGTGAAAGGATCTTGTTCTTCATTTTCATTACTTCTAAGCACTGAGACCTCTTACAAGAATCATCCACAAGCATTTACTAAGTGAATGTTCACAGGAAACCCTTCCTGAAAAGGGTCCTTCCAACTTTACATTTGACAAGTGTGTACTAAGGCAATAAAACTATTCAACTGAGCATTCAAATTCACACAGAGGATACCACGCCAAGAAAATGAAAGCAGAAATATTGGATTCTCCTTATTTGTTAAACCTTTCCCTCTAGAACCAACAGCTTTTCAAACTCATAAAACACCCCAAAACAGTAAAACAATATCAATTACTCATCTGAAGATATCCACCTGAAACACAGTTATTAATCTTCAAAGGCCTAGCACCAGGCAGCTTCACACAGCACATCTGCAGAATTGTAATGATCAATAAGAGTAAACCCAAAGTACACTAAATACTTTCATGGCCTACAGGAAAAAAAAAACGCTCTTTTCAGGACGATGTAATAGTTACATCCTATTTCTTCATGTGCAGCATGATATTCTATGCTTAATGGCATTTAAATGTTACACAGTAAATACGAGAAAACCCAGAATTTTTGGATGTGCAGAAGCAATATCACATCATTAATACAAAAGGTGCTCAGCTGCGGGATTATAATACCATTGAGTGCTGAGACCACTTGAAATCTTAAGTACATTCTTAGCATATGGTCTCCTGGCTGTCACCCAGCCTGGTACCAGCTACCCACCTGTTGCATAGAGCTAGCCCCAGCACTGCCTTGGTTGGGCCGGTTGTTTTTGTCAAACTCTAAGTCTCCCTCAGAATCCCTGTACTTCTCCACTGCAATGTATTGACAGGGTTGTGACCTTGTCCTTCCCAAGGGGCTCACTCTTGGCCTCTTGCTCACACAGATCCTGCACCTTTTCCCGTCAAATCCTCATTCCAGTAGCAGCAAGGAGATCACTTCTCGTATCACTTTTTGGTGGCTGTGCAGGTTCTTGACGCTTTGCCTCAGCTACTGGTGGTAGTGTGGGGGCGAATGCACGGGGAAGACAAAAAAGAAGAACTGAGCCAAGAGGCCTGGTGGGGAAAGTGTGTGGCTGGAGGAGGGAATGCTGGACCCAGGGGCCAGTGGAGGGAGGGTGAGGAGGAGGGTGTGTGGAGCCAGCTGATATGAGGAAGGAGGCGGCAGGAGGATTTGCAGAAGGCAACAAAGGCAGTTTGTACTGTAAAAGGGGGAAGAGAAGGAGGTCTTGACGGGTTGTAATATGCAAGCACCTGTGCTGGGAGCATCCTGTAGTCTCCTGGAGCCATAAGTGCACAGGATTGGAACACAGCTGGGGTAAGGCAGGGAAGTGGGGGCCGCTCTTGAGGTCCATTTAGGGCCATGTGCCTCACTGAGGCAGAGGAGGGGTGGCACTCAAGCTCAGGGGCCTGGTTTGTGGGCCCATGTGGAGATGCATCTTCAGCTGCCTAGGAAGGGTCGTGAGAATGGTTTGGAGTAGCTCCATAAGAGCATCCCTAACATCCATTGTATGGGACCTGCTGTCTAGGGACAGGGGTTCTTGCAGGATGCTCCATGGTACACACTGAGACAACCTGTTGCTGGGTCTAAGCTCTTTGTCATATGCCATCATATTCCACTCATGGTGCTTGTTTCTGGCTTTTGTAATCCTTTTCACATCATAAGTGGTGCCATCTATGTGGTTTTGCTACTTTTGATGCCTTCTGTCTTTCCTTTTGTCTTCTGTGTCCTGCAGCACTTCTTTCCAGAGGTCAAATAAATGGGAAGGATCAGTATAGAACTTCAGCCTGTCTTTATCATCTCCATGTGCTCTCATGCTATTCAGGGGAGGTGGTCAATCACTCTGATTGTAAATGTCAGCAGCAGGAGTAGGAATGCTGCTCTTTGAAACTGCTTGCTGGTCTTGGGCTGGGGAACTTTTGAGGGCTTTTTCCATGTTGATGTCCTGTGGTGACACCTCTTCCACTGCTGAATCCAGCTGAGTGACTTTGACCATGAGGCAACAAATTCTAAGAGAATTTGATCTAATGTGGAAGCAGTTAGCCTCCTTAAATAGCTCACCAAATGTGTCTTCAGCATGTATGTTCAGATTGCTTAGCTGGTGCGTAATAGTGACAAGATTGTTGTTGGTTACACTTTCAAGTCACTGGTAATCCCTTCAGGCAGAGTTCCCTGGTGCAAATGCTGGGATTAGATGCTCCTCTTCACGGGAGGCATGGCTTATAATGGTCTAATTGACTAATGGCTTCAGAAATTTCCTCAGGAAGCATCACCACTTTGATTCAGATACCAGCAGTAACTGCAATCAAAATTAAAATGATCAGTCCCGCTGATGTAGAGGCAGAGATTGCACTGGTAGCTCCCTGATCTTACTCCACACCAGAACACACATCCCTGGTGCTAGCTAAGTTGCCTCAGGCCAGGCCAAGGCCTTGGTCACCCTATTTGTAATTTTCTCTGCAGTTATTTTGCTTTCATTTATTGAACGCCTTAGATATGAGCTAAAATCCCCCACCAAATGTGGGAAACTTTCAACTATTATTTTCTCAAATATTTTTTTCTGATCCTGTGTCTTCTTTTGAGGATCCACTTGCATATCTGGTCACCTGCTTTATATTCTCTGATGGGTTCATGAGGTTCTCTTCATTTTTTTCTTTAATCTTATTTCAATCTGTGTTTTGGATTTTAGAATTGAGCACATTCTGGAGATTTATATTCAAAGTCACAGGCTTGTTCTTTATTCTGCCATCTCAAAACTTCTGTGGACCTCTTCCAGAATACTTTCATTTTCTTTTTTTTTCTGTTTGAGAATTTCCACTTAGTATCTTACGTGGTTTCAGCAGGGGTTTCTGAGTGTGTGTCCTGCATCTGTGTAATTTAGAGGTTGACCAAGTATTTGGGTCATTTATACTCAGATTTTGTGATTCAACTTCATTGTGGTTGCTTTGTTTCTGGAATTCTCTTTGAATTTCCAATTGTTTTGTTAGCCTCAAATCCTGCCTTTTCACCTCTCAAGCCAGTAAGATTTTTGCTTTCTTCTACTGAGCTCTGTGCAGGTTGGCAAATGTACTCAGTCCATGTTACTGAAGACTTGCAGATCTCACCAGGATCATTTATCTCTTTGGAGGGTAGACCTCCCTCTAGTTTCTTTCTGGTTTTTCACCAGATTCCCAAGTGGCCCACACCCATGCAGAGTTTAGTGTTCAACTAGGGATGAGCATAATTTGCATTCACATTGTTGATCTCAACTCTTCTGCAGCTCTCTTTCAACATTCTCATTTACATTTCTAGCTGATTTGGGCTCTGAACTCTATAAACTGCCCATATTGAGCCACTAGGGCTGCAGTTATCTGCTGGGAGGCTGAAGAGCACTCATAGGTAAGAAGGAAAGGCCACCAACTTGCAGTCCTTACCTAAGACAGGAGTCTTAAACAAGAAAGCTCTTATCACATATTGCTTGCCTTTGTTAATTTTCCAGTGACTTCAAATGTTTGTTTTTAGTATTTAGTACAGTTTTCATGTTGCTGTTGGAGGAAAACTTGCTGGTCTATCTCTTCATGTTGCCATAACCAGAAGTTCTACCCTGAAAGAGACTTTTGGGAGAGAAGGTCACAGTCCACAATTCAATCTTCTGAGACAAATATGGATCCAGGCACCAGAAACTGTCAAGTTAGATTTCTAAAATTAAAATAAGATTAGGGCTGGGTGCAGTGGCTCATGTCTGTAATCCCACAACTTTGGGAGGCCAAGGTGGGTGGATTGCTTGAGCCCAGGAGTTCAAGACAAGCCTGGGTAACATGACAAAAACCCATCTCTACAAAAAACACAAAAATTAGCCAGGTGCGGTGGCACACAGCTGTAGTCCCAGCTACTTGGAAGGCTGAGGTGGGAGGATCACCTAAGCCTGGGGCGGTCGAGGCTGCAGTGAGTTGTGTTCGCACCATTGGACTCCAGCCTGGGCAAGAGAGTGAGACCATTGTTTGAAAAAATAAAGATTGAATGAATAATAAAAGAAGATTAGGCCTGGCATCTGTGACCCCAAGGTTCTATGGGAATCACTGACTTCATACAACCTACAATGATAAAGAAGGACACCCTACATATATATGACTGGCCTCTTTTAGTATTGGAGAGAGCACATTCCATAGCTCATAACTTTCCGACAGTCTGTGAATCAAGTCACCAAAACTGCAGCTAAAGTTGAATGGAGGCCATGGAAGTAGTTCAGTGAAGTACAAAACAAGCACTGCTTTTGTTCTTGATTCTTTCCCCAAACAATGCACTCACATGTTTTTAATAAATTCTACAGCCGGTTGTAGCCATTGGCAATGAGACCTCCCATTATTGAGGCCCTGGTCTTTTTAACTTGAGGAATTCCAGCAAATCTAAGGAGTACAAGCTCTTTGAGAAATAACTGCATGATATTATTAAACTCTAATGAGGACAGATGATTTCACCAATGAAAAAGTATGACTTCATATCCTGCAAGGGTATTTCTCTAATCCAAAATCCTATGAGCTAGTACAAGTACAGAAACATTCCATAATAAATGGAAATGTCATTTTGATCCAGGCAAAAGTCAAGCATATCTGCCATTTGGCCCTAAATGCTCATTTGGATATTGTTGAGTGTGTGTGTGTGTGTGTGTGTGTGTGTGTGTGTGTGTGTGTGTGTGGCAGTCATAGGACTCATTGCCCAAGTTTCAGGGTTTGGGGAAAAAGTTCCATTCTTTTTCTGAATTTGAGTAATAGCTTCTGGCTTACTACTGGGCCCTGGTAGATTCTGAATTCTATGATCATGATACAGAAAATGACCAAGTGACTTGAGATGCCCATTATGACCTGAGTTTTATCGGGTCACTCATGCTCACCAGCCCTCAGTCTGCAAGGGGAAATGGTATACACAGCATCAGACTTTAGCAGGTTCCATAAGGCCAGGTAAGTTGCCTAATAATTTGTACTATACTCCTAATGTTCTTATTACCACTGGAGAGTCCAATCTCCCTTGTCTCATTATTGAGGTCTTGAGGAGTTCCCTAAGGACAATTGACTGTAGAAGGAAAAAAATTTGAGTATGCTTGGATACCCCAGAGTTAACTGTCAGGGCATTAGAGTCTCTTTCAGGAATCATCATTAAGAGTAATGGAAATAAAAATACTTCCAGTGAGAAGATGTTCAATTAGACCATCTGGAAGTGCAGTTTACCAAAAGGAGAAATGTCTTACTGTTGGGTCCTAATCAATGCACAGCAGTAGCTAGTAGTTTGCTTAGATAGTCAGTGACTTTAAAGGAATAAGATGGTAAGGTTTGTGATAAGGAGCATTGGGGAGGAGATTTGAACCACTCACATGGCACATTTAGGTAAACATACCTACCCTCATGCTAACAAAAATGGATGGTGAAAAAATAAAACACAATGTAGAAGCATTGAGAGGCTTAAACTTTAATAAAAATTGTCAAATCCTAAATCACGGAATTGTGCATTTACTTTTTTTGCTGAGCTTATTTACTTAATGTAGGATAATTAAGGTTTAGTTTTCATGGCCTCCTAAGGCATTTGGAATAGAAGACAGAGTTCAGGTAGCACTCAGAGTGGGAAATTTAATAGAGTGTTCTCCTCATTTCACCAGGATCCCAAAGCCAGCTCCTCAGTATAAGGAAAACATCCTTGCTTGAAGGTCTCCCCAGAAAGTCACCTTGGTGCTGAGTGGAGAGGGGCAAAACCTTCTCCTGAGATTAAAGAGAAGTGGATTTGCAGCCCGAGTTCACACTCCCTGGGTGGTCTCAAAATCATCAAGCCATGAATTTATTTTAAAGTAGTGCAGACTCCAAGGAACCTTGGAAAATCAAGCAAAACTTCTCTGGAAAATTTCTACTGTCATTGGCACTCTGAAAATTCCAAAAAATCATTACACCAGCAAAAGGAGCACTTAACAGTTAAGAACAACAACAGAGAACAATGTTCATAAGAGACAAAGCACCGTGAAAGAACAAGAAAATACAACAGACAGCAGAATCATACAATCATATAACTGAGAAATCAGAATAATTGTATAGGATATAAAATTGCTAAATGGGCTATGATTAAAGAACAGATTGTTAAATACATTTAGTGACTATAAAACTATAAATAATCTTCAGAAAAATTTGAAGAGACAAACACATAACACTTAAGCATGAAAATATAATAATAAAATTTAAATCTCGATGAATTTTGAAGACAAACAATTTAACACAAACACACCTAGTAAAGTACAAGAAGTTCTAAAGAATGTACTTTAGTCACAAAAAGATATCCCAGGTAGAAAGTATGAGGTGAAAGAAAAAAACAAACAAAAAATAAAGGTAAATGGATGGTTAAATATAAATTGAGGTTTAAAAGGATAGTGTATATATTGAGAATCTATAAATATTGTTAAATGAAATACAAATTATTTTATCTTTTTCCAGGTCTAATGTTGGATTTCTTTTCTTCATATTCTGATTAAAATTTCAAGATAAACTTCTCACTCATAATGTGTCCCATTCTGGTTTTGTTTTGTACATTTCAGTATAATGCATATAAAAGAATATTCTGCGGGTCTTTTTATGGTATCTTTCCAAGCTATTGTTGGATTGTCCAGTACTTCACGTTCTCCAATCTTGTAAGTAACGAATGTACAAATTCAACTGTACATTTTTACTAGTGGGCAGTTTTCCACAATATGAATGCCATTCATGTAGTTGGCGGGACCTGCCAGTGTGTCTTTCAGAACCACGGACAGATCTACATGTTCTGGGATGTAGGGAGCTAGAGTGCTCTCTCAACTGGATGCAATGGAATGCCAGGGAGGAAAGTTTAAGATAAACTCTAGTCACCACGGAATTGTGATTTTTAAGCATAGTAAGCATAGTCTGAAATACCACATTCTTTCCAACCCCTCTCTGCACCCAATACGTCATTAGCCCTGTATTTTATACTCACTGTCATAAAAGAACCTGTTGGGGAAGGGGAGGTAGCTTTAGGTCAGTCTTGGTACAATCATACAGTGGCTAAATTAGTAGATCTAGTGTAAAATGGCCTGGAACTGAATTCTAGCCTCATATCTTCAAAATTATGGAACTTTGGGCAAGTAACTTAACATCTCTGTACCTAATTTTCTTGAACAAGTTACAGTTTACAGATTTCATTTATTTATTGTGGATAATAACATCCTTCTCATATGGTTGTGATAAATATTGAACAAAATAATCCATGTAGGTACAAAAACCAGTGCCTGAAATATAGCAAGAGCCTTTTAAATGCAGCCATTATTGTTATTATGGTTATTCTTATTGTCGTTTTTCACAGAATACCTTCTGGTTCCCACACAGGATCTCTGAGGACCTGTTGGATCAGCAGCTCTTTTGTAAGATTTGTTGATATTGTGAAAATTCTCTAATCACAACACAGCTACAATTTTACAGAAGTTCCCAATACCTTATCTGAAGGTTTCTTACAGTCAGATTATGAGTCTTGGTTGAAGGCATCTTCTGGAGTCATGGTAACACTCCGGGTATTCTGGGAAAACAGTGATTTCAAAATACAGTTTGTCTTGTTGAGACTAGGAATTTGGAAAATTCCAGTCTGTGAAGTGAAGGGAGAGGAGATACTTCCTTAGCAGGAGGAAGAGAATGTACCAAGTACAGGGCAGTTAAAGAAATGTTTGTTTGATTTTTTTGCCAGTGGTTATATCTGTGGTTTCATTAGTTAAATGCCTTATGTGGTACATTCTTCCCAATAAGTATTTTTAAAAGCCTCTGAAAGGAAGGAGCTCTTGCTACCACCATCCTCTCAGTCAAGTGGGAATAATCTGGTGAGCATAGCAGATGCCAATCAGTTCATAAAAAGCTCAATCTTCAAGTTTGCAGAATTAATTCTAAAAACGAGAAGAGTATTGGACATAGAATTTGACATATATGTTGCATGCAGAAGCTGATATTTTAGCTTTATAGTTTACAGGTCCCTCAGAATGTTTTATACTTTTTTATCATAACTGGGAAGCTGTCACTTTAATCTTTGAGTAGGACTAAGGTATGAAAAGAGCAATGATGGTGTGCTCAATGGCTATATTACTAAACACAAGAATGTTTTCAGCATGATCTACCTGAGCTACATGGAGATTGATAACTAAATATAAAGTGAATGGAGATAAATGCCTTACTTACCTTCTGCAGATGACACCTTCTAGTTAGCAAGTGGCAGATCCAGGACTACGGGGCTAGGAAACCGCTTGGGCTGGAGTACAAGGGCAGTTTCAGGGATAGAGAAATTAACAGGCAGAGAGGGAATCTCTGAGACTAGGAAAGACTAACTGCAGCTGGGCCTAGATGATCTGAGATCCAAATGTAGCTGTTGATCTTAAATTATGCAAAGTAGCAATGGAACTGTCAGTCAGTCAGCATGTCTAGCTAGTCAGACAGATCAGGAGTTTAATCACTGACGTTATGGGAAATCAGAAAACTCTGGGATGGCTGGGAGAATATGTGCATATAGACGTCTGTAGAGTGGGTGACAAATAAATGAAACCACCTAAATATTTACCCCAGGGGAGTAGGTGCATATAACATACTATGGAACAGCATTAAAATGATGAGTTAAACCATTTTTTCTGTGAAATTCAAAGGATGTTCATGATATAATAGAAATAAAAATATCAAATGGTAGGGCACTGTGAATACAATGTAATTTTTCAAAAGCTACAATGAGCAATAAGATGAAATAAAAGTCATCTAGATTAAAAAGCAAGAGGTAAAACTATCTCAATTGCAGATGATAAAATCTTATATAGAAATACAAAAGAATTCACTAAAAACAAGCTTAGCAACTACTAAACCACTAATACTAAATTAGTTTAGCACATTGGTAGGCTACAAGATCAAAATACAAAAATTGAGTGTGCTTCTATAGAGTATCAATGCATTAATACAAATGTTATTTAAAAATCCAACTTACAACAGCATTAAAAAGAATGAAGTCAGAAGAAAATTGAGGGCCCAGCAATACTCTTCACTTATATGGTTAATTGGTTTTATAAAACAGTGCTAATATAATTCAGTGAGGGGAAGAAATTATCTTTTCATCAAACAGTGCAGAAACAACAGGCTATACCTATGCAAAAGAATAAAGCTGGATCCCTACTTCACACCACATATAAAAATTACCTCAGTGTATCAAAGACCTAAATGTGAGACTTAATATTAGAGAACTCTTAGAAGAAAACATAAGCATAAATCTTCATGACTTTGGATTAGGTAAAAATACCTGATCTTAAATGATACCAAAGGCACAAGCAAAAAGAGGAAATAAAAGATAAATTGAACATCATCAAAATTAAAAATGTGTGAGTCTAAGGACACCATCAAGAAAGTGAAAAGAAACTCATTGAATGGGAGAAAAGTTTTGCAAATCTTATATCTGGCAAGGAAAGGACTTGTATCTAGAATATATAAAGAATGGTTGTAACTCAATATAATAAGATAATAATAAACAATAAATAATAAAAATAATAATAATAAGACAAATAATATACAAAAGGCCCATAAGCACATAGAAACATGTTCAACATCATTAACCATCAGGGAAATGCACATCAACCCAAAAATGAGATACCATTTCCCACCCACTAGAATGGCTATAATTAAAAAGATAATAATTAGTGTTGATGAGAATGTGGAGATACTAGAATACTCACACTTTGCTGGTGGGGATTTAAGAGACATAGCCCCTTTAGAAAGCAGGCTAGCAGTAGCTCAAATTTGTGAACATTAAGTTATTACATGACCCAGCAATCCCCTCCTATGATACAGTATACCCAAGAGAAATGAAAACATGAGTTCACATAAAAACCTATATGCCATGTTTATAGCAGCATTATTAATCACAATCCAAATGAGAAGGACCAAAATGTCACCAACTAATAAATAAATTGTGATATATCCATACAATGGAATGTAATTCAGCGATGAAAAAGATGTGAAGTACTGATACAAGCTACGACCCACACAAACTTTGAAAATGTTCTGGTAAGTAAAAGAAGACAGACACAAAAAGCCACATGTTGTATAATTTCATTACATAAAATGTTCAGAATAGGTAAATCTGTAGAGTTAAAACATAGGTTGGTAGTTTCTTAGGGCTGGGGTTTGGATATGGATTTTTCTGCAGGGCTGGGAGGAGATAAAAGGATCTGTAATTGATTGTAGTAATGGAGGCACAACTGTGAATATTCTAAAAGCCACTGAATTGTATATATTGAATGTGTGGATTTTATACTATTTAAATTATATCTCAAGTTGCCCTGAAAATGATTAAATTACATATAAAACTTATAGTCATTACAGCTCAACAAAAACTACCAGATGAAAACACTCACTATGGTTTGCGTGCAAGTGAAGAAAGTAGACATGCAGAGAGTAGGCTGATACAATAGTAATCACCTTAGTTAAGTGGGTTTGGATTTAGTGAAAGGAGAGATTTAAAAGTATATTTATGCATATTTTGATTGTTTCATTTCCTACTGTGAGCATGAATTATTTTTACACTAAAATTTAAAAAATAGAAAGTTACAAATCTTGAAAGCTCTGCTGTCAAATAAACATAGTAACAAGTGATAATGAGCTGTCTGGAATGTCTTCCTAGAGAACTGGCTGAAGCACATGCATGCAAAAGGAAGGCAATGGCTGAAGAATCAAGGCAGAACTGCAGTGGTAGAAGAGAAGAAAAATGTAAACATGGAGATATAAGACAAGAAGACGACTGATGAAGGAAGTGGACATGAATACTGTGAAAACCTCTTGGGGAGTCAGAAATGACCGGGTCTACGTGGGAGGGAAACTGGATTACAGCCCAAGATGGCCAGCCATCAGGGACAGTGTCCCGAATCAGATTCTGTCCCGAATCAGAAGGGCTGTCTAATCATTCCCTTTCTTCTCCTTCCAACACCCCAGCAAGATTATTGCCTAATTTACAGCCATGCACGTTGAAGAATCAGTAAAATTTGGAGACTTTGAGACAACAGACAGAAAATTTTTGAGCTCCTCTGGGCATTAGTGAGCTGTTTTCAGAAAAACAGACTCACTCTGGTATTTCAGGAATAAATAGAAATAAGAGCATACACTAATGTTTGGAAACCACGGGTAGCAAATATTGGTGAAGTCATGTGACAGGCAGAATAACGGTCTCCTAAATATGTCTGTGTCCTAATCCCTGGAACTTATAAAAATGTCTCCTAATAGGGCAAAAGGAAATTTTCAGATGTGATTAAGCTGAGGCTCTTGAGATGGGAAGATTATCCTGGATTATCTGGGCAGGTTCGATGTAATCACAATAGTCCTTATAAGTGAAAGGAGTAGAAAGCAGCATCAGAGTTAGAGCTGTGACAACAGAATCAGAGGTCAAAGTGATGTGACTGCTGACTTGGAAGATGGAGGAAGAGACCACAAGCCAAAGAATGCAGGCAGCCCCAAGAAGCTGGAAAGGGTGAGGAAACAGATTTTCCTTTAGAGCCTCAGAAGAAATGCAGCTCTGACGACATGTTAATTTTAGCCCATAGTGACCCATTTTTGACTTCTTACCTCCAGAACTATAAGAGAATACATTGGTGTTGTTTTAAGCCACATAGTTGTGGTAGTTTGTTATAGCAGCAGCAGGATACTATAATAATACCAGTCACCATTGGAGCTCCTGGAAGCTGCAGTAGGGAGGTCAGGGAAGCATATACTGAAGACTTCAGCTTGAAGCATGGATGGGAGGTTCTCAGAATCCTGCTGCGAGATTGCTATATTCTCCAGAACCTATGAGAAAGCTCTTATCACTCATCTTAGTCCACACAAGCAAAGCAGGTGGGTCTCTAGCCTAGCAGGGAAGCCACTGAGAACCTGACATCTGCCTGCTCCTCTACCTGCAGCCACCACTGATGGGTACAGGTCTGTCCCACCATCTCTCCAGGGCCCCATTTCTTATGCAAGTCTCTCTCACTGGAAAATGTAAACTGGAACTATACAGGGAAGGGGATCCTGGGAGATATAGTGCCTGGCTTCTCCTCTGCAGAGAAGATGCTAGAGGGGAGATGAGGTGATACTGGGTTTTTAACAATGCAACACATGAGTTACTAACAGTGAATGAAGGGGGACTGGCTGACCTCAGTTTGACAAGCAAATGTGCCATTAGATGATGCAAACCATTGGTATATCTATGAGATTTAGTAGTTTTAGCAAGCTATTTATTGGAGCAAGGATGTATCAAAAACTATGAAAAGTGCAGGTTTAAAAAATGTACAAAAAATTTAATGGACTATACAAATGAAATAAATTATTTTTTTAATTATACTTTTAAGTTCTGGGATATATGTGCAGAATGTACAGGTTGGTTATATAGGTACACATGTGCCATAGTGGTTTGCTGCATCCATCAACCCGTCATCTAGGTTTTAAGCCCCGCATGCATTAGGTATTTCTCCTAATGGTATCCCTCCCCTTGCCCCCATCCCCTGACAGACCCCGGTATGTGATGTTTCCCTCCTTGTGTCCACATGTTCTCATTGTTCAACTCCTGCTTATAAGTGAGAACATGCGGTGTTTGGTTTTCTGTTTCTGTGTTAGTTTGCTAAGAATGATTGTTTCCAGCTTCATCCATGTCTCTGCAAAGCACATGAACTCATTCTTTTTTATGGCTGCATAACATTCCATGGTGTATATGTGCCACATTTTCTTTATCCAGTCTATCATTGATGGGCATTTGGATTGGTTCCAAGTCTTTGCTATTGCAAATAGTGCTGCAGTGAACATATGTGTGCATGTGTCTTTATAGTAGAATGATTTATAATCCTTTGGGTTTATGCCCAGTAATGGGATAAATAAATTCTTAACTATGCTGCTATTTTATTTATTTAAAAATGTGAGTTCGTGGTCTGAGTAATTTACCTCAGTATGACTCAAGAAGGGCACTGGAAGTCCGTTGATCTGGCCAGAACAGAACCACATATATGAATGGAAAAAGTGGTCTTGTGTCTGCCAATCCCAGGGGCTTACAGGATGCTGTCTAGAATAGGCTGGCTACAGCAACTCCTAGTTAAGCCAGAAGTTTGGAATGAGTTCAATTTTGGGGGATTAAATTCTAATGAGAGGCAGAAAACAGGAAAGTTTATGCTTTTCCATGCTAATCAATGGCCCCATAAACATTTTCTTGTATATATTTTTGTAATTTCAAAAAACTCAAGTGTTTTGTCAGTAATTTCTTAGAGGTGCACACAGAGAGAGATGAGTATAATTGTGAAGCTAAGTTTTGTAAAGCACAGGGATGGCTAAGAATGGGAAGGAACTGATCCCAGAATCCCACAGAGTTAACCAGTAACCCTCAGCCCAAGTACGTGATGACCACTGTTGAGCTTCAAAGGAAAAGCGGCCATCTGAGGAGCAAACAGAATTGCATGAAGAATAAGAGTGCAGACGGTGTCCTAAATACAGTGCTGAGATTCATGTAGAAGCACAGGAGGAAGCAACTGTGTAAGTATCCAGAGTCCTATGAAGTAGGGATTTCAATCCTCCGAGCCACCTGCTCCCATCTGCTAACAAGGATCAAGGCTTTTGTGGATGTAACTGGCTGTGGTTGATGGGAACCCCTGCGATCCCTATGGGGTTACACATAGCTTCGGAGAGGGGAATGAACACACACACAGCAAAGGGAAACCATCTGGGCCTT
The DNA here is from genome assembly GCF_000001405.40 of Homo sapiens. Taxonomy (NCBI): domain Eukaryota; kingdom Metazoa; phylum Chordata; class Mammalia; order Primates; family Hominidae; genus Homo; species Homo sapiens. Next base: position 2,602,656 of record NT_167249.2, read on the forward strand.
TACTGAAACCACTGGCTGACCCCTGGGTTAAAGTATGTATGTTCTGAGTACTGATGTTAATTACATACAGACATTGCTCAGACCCCATGTCACCTCACACTGCTGGAAATTTGCCTTGACCTCGACTCTCACCAATGACCTTATGGGTAGTTTCTATGACCAGCTGACTTAAGAGGAAAATTCTGAGCTTCTTCATAAACATGCCAGCTTAGTGTGTTGGTGTGAGGCAGCAGTAGAGTGTGTCTGCAGTGTGGGCAACTCAGGAATGAGCAGAGACAGTGCTGAAGAGGGTCCTGCCAATAGGCAGGTGGGGCTCTGATTTGCCCACTTTGTGTAGACAGAAGTGGCCTGAGGTGAGAATATGCACAGACTCATAGGCAACGGCAAATGGCTTAAATAGCGGGTCCGGGGCCTGGAAGGAGCAAGATAGGAAGATCAGGAACAGGAATATCTGGAAAGAGGCATACAGTAGATACAAAGTGCTTGGCTCTTTTGTATCAGATGTTAATACTCAGCAAAAATTACCCTCTATACAAGTAGTCTAAACAACCAGGTGTACAGGATGAATCATTTGGTACACATCAGCCAGCCTCTGTCCTTAACCATCCCAGTGCTCATGAAACAGGCTCTTGAAAGCAGTATCTATGGTGGAAGAGATGCACTGTGGGTGAGTCCCAAGGCTTGGGCTCCCTTCAGCGTGGCTGACGTGGTTATTGTCACAACCTACCTTCCAACGATAAATAAACTCCAACAGATTACCTTTGCTTATGGAGGCCAATGAGCAATTTGATGGCAAATTGATTCTACTCTTACTTTTTCACAATGAAAAAGGCAGGGGTTCTGTCAGATTTAGCTTGCCTTGTATTAGCGGTATGAGTTTGTTCTTTCTTCCCACAGTGCCACACTCAGAAACGTTATCTAAGGGCTCACATATGTATGATCTTCTAATAGGGGAACCACATAACATTGCCCCAGACTAAGGGACCTACTTTATAGCGAACGCTGTCTGGTAGTGGGCACACGACCATGAGATCTCCTGGTTCTACCCTATACTGCATCACACACGCTGCCAGCTGATAGAGCAGTGGGATGGTCTCTTGAGGGTGCAGCTGGGTTTTATCTTGAAGATCACATCCTATCAGGATGGGTAATGTCCTTCAGGATGAAGCATACACTTAGGCTATGGCAGCAGCTGTTACATAGTGCCAAGTCTCCAACAGGCAGAGGAAGTAAGTCTCTAACCACCAGTGCTGGAAGAAGGAATGACTATACTCACCAGCACTTCCGGTAACCCGCGTGGGGTGTTGGTGCTTCCCATCCCCTCAACGTACTCAGCTGGTCTAGGAGTTTGGGATCCCAGAGAAGGAAGTTCCTACCATGGAACAGAGTACAAGTTACATTACGTTTAGGGGTATGTTTGTTACCTGTTCAATTTGGGTTCCTCATGCTAGGAGGCTGTTGGGAAAAGGAGGGGTTACTGTATAAGCAGGGATAATTGATCGTGATTATTATGAGGAGCAGAACTTTAATTTCTGTCTTAATTTCTTGCTGAAACTGGTAACAGTGGTTGCATCCAGGCAAGGAATTTGGAAGAATTGTGGATGGGGTGGAGAAGGAAATTTGCTTTGCACACTATACACATTTTTATTATTATAATCTTTTAAATCTTGTTCTTGTATTAGACTTTCAAAATAAATTTTGAATTTATTTTGAATTTATTTTGAATTTAAAATAAATTTTAAATTACAACCCCACATTTATTAAAACTTATTCAATAGTTTTTGGGGGACAGGTAGTTTTTGGTTATGTGTGTGAGTTCTTTAGTAGTGAATTCTGAGATTTTGGTGCACCGTCACCCGAGCAGTGTACTCTACCCAGTGTTGCCTTTTATCCCTCACCCTATTCCCAACCTCCACCAACAAGCCCCTAGAGTCCATTATGCCATTTTGTATGTTTTTGTGTCCTCATAGCTTAGCTCTCATTTATAAGTGAGAACATTCAGTATTTGGTTTTTCCATTCCTGAGTTACTCCACTTAGAATAATGGCCTCAAGCTCCATCCAAGTTGCTGTATAAGACATTGTTTCATTCCTTTTTATGGCTGAGTAGTAATCCATGGTGTATATACACCACTTTCTTTAGCCACTGGTTGGTCAGTGGGCACTTAGGTTGGTTCCATATCCCTGCAATTATGAATTGTGTTGCTATAAACATGTGTGTGCATGTGTCTTTTTCATATAATGACTTATTTTCCTTTGGGTAGATACCCAGTAGTGGGATTGCTGGATCAAATGGTAGATCTAGTTTTAGTTCTTTAAGGAATCTCCATACTGTTTTCCACAGTGGTTGTACTAATTTACATTCTCACCACTAGCAGTGTAAAAGTGTTCTGTCTTCACCACATCCATGCCAACATCGATTGTTTTTTGACTTTTTAATTAATGCCATTTTTTTCTTTTTCTTTTTTTTTTTTTTTTTTTTTTGAGACAGAGTCTGACTCTGTCTCCCAGGCTGGAGTGCAGTGGCACTATCTCAGCTCACTGTAACCTCTACCGCCCAGGTTCAAGCAATTCTCCTGCCTCAGCTTCCTGAGTAGCTGGGACTACAGGCACGTGCCACCACGCCCAGATAATTTTTTGTATTTTTGGTAGTGACAGGGTTTCACCGTGTTAGCCAGGATGGTCTCAATCTTCTGACCTTGTGATCTGCCTACCTTGGCCTCCCGAAATGCTGGATTACAGGCTTGAGCCACTGCGCCCAGCCAAATTAATGCCATTCTTGCATGTACAAGGTGGTACCTCATGGTGAACTCCACATTTATTTAGCAAACATTTATTAGGCAGTTACTATGTGTCAGGCTCTCCTAGGCCTCAGTGAGTCAAACATCAAAGATTCCACAAGGGGACTAAAAAAACAGGTAAATGCAGGCTACTATAATTAGTGGGGGAAAACTGCTTCCAAGAGGATGCAATGTCTAAACAGAGAACTGGATGAGGAATACAGTTAATCCAGGTGAATGGCAGGAGAAACCTTTTAGGGAATCGGTATCACAAACAAAGGCTCAGAAGAAAGAGCACACAGGGAGTCTGGGGGAACTGTCAGCAGTTCAGGGTGGAGATTAGAGAGAAAGGAGCACAGGGGCAAAAAGCAAGCTTGGAGCAGTGAGCAGGTTCAATGACTAAGGCTTGTGGGGTTGGGGAGAACCTTGGCTTTTATCCGAGGACAATGTGCAGCACTGGCAGCACTGAAGTCAGGAAGAACCTTGGTCAGATCTGAATTCCAGAAGAATAGCTCTGGTTTAAGTGTGAAGAATGAACTGAGAGATGCTAGATTGGATACATGGAGAAGAAGAGGTTTGGGGAAACCCTGGTGGCAACTGTAGGGAGAATATTAGGATGGAGGAAAGGGTAGAAAGGACCCTGAGAGATCTGAGTGATCAAGACCCAGTGTTTCACACATGGAAAATAAGGTGGAAAAGGAGAAAGGTCCCCATATGAATAGCACCTCATCTGGAAAAATGACATAAAACAAGGGAATTTCGCCCATGACATAAGAGGCGCTTGGGTTCACATGGTATTGCGTGATCAGGGAGGAGTTTAGTTGAGTTCACCTCTACAGACAGGTATTGAGTGCCAGGTATGCTGTCATCAGGGTCACAAGGAAATCAAAGGTATATGCCTTATATCTTTGTGACTTACGTGTCTGATCCTGCTTAAGAACTATGCTAATCCCCGACTTTCCAGGACCCCCAGTAATTTTGTCTTGTGCCCATGTGGGAAGAGCTGAGGCTTGGCAAGAGGATCTTACCCATATGGTCCAAAAAATAGTAGAAAGGTTTCTTTAGAAGACACAAATTCCCTAATTAAATGGACTAATTTATCCATACAAGAGAAATAAAATCACTAAAAAATAAACTGAGTGAAGGCAAAGAAATCAACAAAGAGTAATTACCAGAAGTTTGTGGGATTCTGCATGAAAACAAGCTTGAAGAAATAGTGAAAGGAGAAGATTTGCCTAACAGTATGACATTCGAATGAAAAAAAAAAAACCAGATAGGTTTAGTGGTGTTGCTTCTTTACAGATGCAGGAGGTTTGAAAAGTAATAGAGAAAAACATTTGGAGAGAACGTCATCTTAGCTTTCACACAGAATGCAAGACCAGCCTTTCCTGTGGGCATCTCTTGATTTTTGTTTCCAGGGCTTTGATTTCATAAACACAGCTCAGCTCCGCAGATCATCTGGCCCAGTCCAGGATCCGGGTTTGTAATGATCTTGTTCAGTCATGGTCCAGCCTGTGCATAGAGACCCTAAGACAATGCCCGGTGATCCTGTCTCTTGGCATCTCATCCAGCTGAGAACCAATGGGACCTAAACTTGCTTCTAACCAATAGAAAGTGGCAAAAATGATGTCACTTCCGCAATGAGGTCATATGACAGCCCCACTTCTGTATTACTCGATGACTCTGTCTTCTGCCTTGTTTCCAAGTTTCGATGAAGCAGAAAGGCCTGTGTGGCAAGGAACTGAAGTCAGCCTCTGGCCACCAGCCAGTAAGGAACTGAGGCTGTCAGTCTAACAGACATGGAGGAATGAATCCTGCCAACAATTGCTTGGGCTTGGAAGGGTATCCTTCCCCAGTTCAGCCTCCAGATAAGACCAAGCCATGGCACTCTGATGAAAATCATGTGAGAAAGCTGCATAGCTGTGTCTGGATTCCTGAACCATAGAAATGTGGGATAATACATGTGTGTTGTTGTAAGCTGCTAAGTTTGTGGCAATTTCTTATATAGCAATGGATAGCTGAAAACACCTCCCACAGCTTTCACTGAGTTAAGCGACCCTTGGGGCCAGTTAGAACTTATCTCATCCCCTTCCCTGTGGCAGCCCTTATCTTTCTCATAGGTTGACATCCCACTTTCTCTTTACCAGTGTGAATGTCAAGTTCTCTTACTATCTCTGTTGCTCTCCTCTCACACCATCCAGGAGGCCCCACTAGGGAGTGGCAGGCAGAGAGGAGGAAGTGTGGGGTATGGGTAGACTCCTCCTCATGGTTCAACCTTGAGTGCAGGTATTGCCAGTTGGAAGAAGAGAGGTCAGGAACCAGTAAGGATTGGAAGGAGATTAGTGAATACCCCACCACTCTCAGGCCCATGCAGGCTGTGAAATAAAACCGTGATGAATAGACTCTGCATGGCCCCTGCTGGTCTTTACCCTTCAGCATTCTAGACAGTGCACCTCATATGCCATGATGCAAACACCACTGACTCCCTCCAGGGCAGATATAAATCTCCCTTTCCCCCGCGTCCAGCAAGCACACTCCATCAGCCTATGGGTCACTTCAACCCCATGACTCCCTAGTCGGGACTGCGGCAAATGCAATAGACTTCGGTCCAGTCTCTGGGCCTGGAGAAGAAAGGGAAGCTGGTCAGAGCCCACAGGAGGAGGTGACCCACAGGGAGCCAGTAGATGGGTGTGAGGGTGAGTATGACAGAGCAGTTACTTGGGCTCAGCAGTCAGACTGTCTCCTTAGAGTCATGAGTCAGCCCATTGACAGTTACTAAACTTCCTAGTGACCTCAGTTTCCTTGTCTGTAAAATGGGGCTGATAGCTGTCTCTAGGTCATAGGGCTCTTGTGAGGTTTAAATGATTTAATTCATGTAAATCCCTTAGGAACGTGACTGACACTTTTTTTAAGGTACAATTCTGTAAAAGAGTGGGACCCATCCATTTAGGTCCTGTTTCCTTATTCCAGGTGTGATGAAACCAGCTCTCCCCAACACTTATCCTGACCCCCGTTCTATGCCTGCAGGTGGAGCACTGTTCTGTCCCTTACAACCTATGGTGTGGGGGGCAACCAGGAAAAGGCCAGGGTGGTGCCAAGTATGAGGAAGTCACAGAGTAACACACACACATACACACATACATACCCATACCTGCTTGTATACATAAATATGTACAGATACATACATATACGCACTTATAAACATGCACATACACACAGATGCCCAAACCTGTTTATATATCCACATGTGCACAGAGAGACACAGGCACATTACACACTCCCAATTCGTAGATTCAGTTTGGGGCCTGGATAATTCCGATTCAATCTCTTTTAAGAAATTTAAGAATCTGAAAGAGAAAGACCTGAGAATTTTTGTCCCACAAGAGACAGACCCACTTCCCAGGCACTGTGGGACTTTCTGAGCCCCATGTGGCCCTGCTCCTGGAAGCTCATGGAGGAGCGGGAAAATCTGACTTAACATCAAGGTTCTGAAGTCCAGAGGCAGCCCTAGGAACTGGCCTTCCCTGGGTACCGGGCCTCCAGGAGTCCAGCAGGTCCCCTTCCTCCTATCTCACCTATGACGTCTCAGCCTGCCTTCCACAGCCAAGGGCCCCTCCCAGGCTTTGCTGCACAGCAGGAGTCTCCACAGGGCTCCAGAAGGAACAGGAACAGAGTTTAACTCAACCCCCTCGGGTGAGGCACCCTCAGGTCCAATTTTTTGGTTCTAACATTGGTGATACCACTTTTCAGTCTTAAAATGTCTTTTTCGGCCGGGCGCGGTGGCTCACGCCTGTAATCCCAGCACTCTGGGAGGCTGAGGCGGGCGGATCATGAGGTCAGGAGATCGAGACCATCCTGGCTAACACAGTGAAACCCCGTCTCTACTAAAAATACAAAAAATTAGCCGGGCGTAGTGGCGGGCGCCTGTAGTCCCAGCTACTCGGGAGGCCGAGGCAGGAGAATGGCGTGAACCTGGGAGGCGGAGCTTGCAGTGAGCTGAGATCGCGCCACTGCACTCCAGCCTGGGTGACAGAGAGAGACTCCGTCTCAAAAAAAAAAAAAAAAAAAAAAAAAGTCTGTTTCTTTTCTGATTTGCAAAAAGGTTTATAATTTTTGATACTCACATCTGCTACTTTCTATTAGAACCTAGCAGTCCTTCGTGGTACTTTCATCCACTGTGTCTCCGCCGATTCCGTTTCCTGGTGTTTTATCTTCTGGTTGGGTTAAAGATTATATGTAATTGTTGGGCACAGAGGACCAGGAAAGAAAAAGATTCCCGGTGAAGCTAGACCCAAGTACATCACTGTTGACAAGGGTAACTACTGTCCTTTCCTATTTACCTCCCTGCACTCCTTCTTCTCTGTCCTCCCTCCCCACCCACCCATGGGAGAGCCTCAGGAGCCTGAGCCAGAATCCCCAACCCCGCAGTAGGGAGGAGGAGGAGGAGGCGGCGACGGAGGAGGAGAAGGAGGAGGAGGAGGAGGAGACGGAGACTGTTCGGTCTCCTCTTTCCTCAAATATGGATGCCTCCAAGGAACATAATTCCAGCTCCAAGAGGTCCTGACGTGGGGCCTGGAGGACCCCAGTACCTGCCGGTAGCATCATCTCCTTGCCATGCTCCAGGTGTCTGAGCAGCCACCTAGTGCAGTGACCCATCGGGGCTTCCCTTGTGGCCTCCGCGGTCCAGAACCTCTCCCAGGTGTGATGGATCCTCCAAGCCGCTCTTTGAGCCGCTGTCCAGGTCTGCAGGTCCTCGTTCAGGGACATGAAATCTCCTTGTCGTAGGCGGACTTAAAGTGTCCTTCGAGGAAGCTCCTGTCCGGAGCCACCACCCAGCCAGACAGCAGCATCTGCAGGTGCGGTACTCTGGACCTGCCCCAGGGTGAGCCGGAGGCGGGGCCAGGGAGGGGAGGGAGGTCGCCCCGCCCACCCCAGCTCCTTCCTTCCTCTGTCATTGGTCACAGAACAAGTCAGTCATGATCCAGATTGAAGGAGAAACCTGGAGCAAAATGGCCCCAGCGCTTCCCCACCTGAGAGGGATCAGCTGAGGCCCCGACCCCCCATCCCTGGGAGAACCGGGCTGGTCACTCTGGGGTCGGGGCGGGGCACACCTGTGCCCGGAGTCTGAGGTCACTCACCGGCTGACCCTGGTGGTGGTGCGGGCCCAGGAACCTCAGGCCCCTCAGTAACACATTCCCTGCGGTCTTCGAGAATTTTCCTCAGGGCGCCCACAGCCCTGTGCCATCTTCTCCACCCGCGCTTCACGCTCTGATTCTCGCCGCGGCTGTGGAAGCTCAGGAATCGCGTGTCGCCCACGAAGGCGCCGCTGAGGAACTCAGGGCCCACGTGGTGAAGGCGGAGCCCGGCGGCCTTCAAGTACCCGGGGTGCGGGCCTGGGCTCCGGGAACCTACACATTGCGGGCGGGAGAGGCGCAGGGTGCCTGGGACCCCGCCCCGCTCCCCTCTCTCCTGGACGCCGTCGCCCTGCCTCCCCGCGGGGACACAGCCTCCCTCCCACGTCCCGCCCGGCACCGGAGCCGCTCACTTGGGAGCTTCTTACTGTGTGGGGGGAGCTGGGGAGGGGACAGAGGGACGGGAACCAGGGGAGGGTGGCTTGGGGCGGTGGCTCTGGGAGAAGTGACCTGAGGAGTCTGCAGATCCCAGCCCGGGACGGAGGCGCCGCGAGAGGAGCTACTAAGCCCTCCAAGCCGCCCTTTCCCTCTTGCCTCCCCAGCCCAGTTCATCCTGATCTTCTCACCAGCCCCGTTCTCCCCAAGGTCAGGGCCCACAGAGGAACAGGAAGGGGGTTCCGGGACACAGGATCCGGCTTCTCTGGGTATCTTGGAGTCCAGGAAGGATCCTGGAGATCTCCCACTTTATGAAGCTCATCCTCCACTGACTCTGATGGCTTCTCTAGAACCCGATACCAACTGATAAAGGCGTCCCATCTGGACGCCCTTATCAGTCCTGGGGGAAAAACAAGAGCCAAGGGTGAGAGGTGGCCATGAGGTCAGGGAAACCCCTGCAGAATTCTCAGGAGAGGGAAATCTTCAGAGCTGTGGCTTTGGCTTAGTTTGTCTTCCCACCAGCCACCTGTCCTAGAGCTGGAGATGCCAAACCAGAGACTTTGGATATTTTCCCTGAGTGACATAATCCTTGTCTTTCTCTCCTGGAATTGTGGGTCCAGACCATCACAGTGATCCAGTCGGCCCCCTCTCCTTCTTCTCTCACTCCAATCTCTCTCCCTGAGCTGGACTCTCCGCCCACCCTCACATTCTGGAAAAGTGCAGTGGTGTGAGCATGGCCCTGGGGCAGAATTGTCTGGGTGCAAACCCGGCTCCATCCCTACTTTTGTGTGATCTTCATTCCTATGGCATTAACTATGAAAGGGAAAAATAACAGGCACAAGCCATGGATGTGTAGTCAGAATAAAATGAATTGGCATTTTTAAAGTGCGAAGACCACTATTTGACACATAGCACAATAAAAGTGTAAAATGTTATCATTCTTGTCATTTCTTTAGGCCCTTTTTCTTGAGGTCTTCCTCTTCTCTTTGGGTTCCCATGAAAATTTACCCTGTTGGAAGTTGATGTCAGCAAGAGACCTCCTCTTGGGAAATGCTGGCTCAGTGTGGGGCCTCCCTTTTAGTAAAGGGAAAAACCGATGGTGGACCAGTAGCTAGTGAGTCAGAGACCATTTTATTTAAACAAGATCACCTACCTAGAATTAACTCCATTTTGATAAGGGCATGCATCTCACAGATAAGCCCAGTGTAATTTATGAGGAGATTGCTTTATTTGTGTAGAACTTACTCTAGTGCTTTTCATAGTCTTGCAACACATTTTGAATCCCTGGTTCTCATTTCACACTGACTGCCTCACAGAGTGAAGACGATGAGAAGTATCTTCATACTATATTCCCACGTTCGTCTATCGGAGTCACAGTCATATATTACATATGCAGATATTTTTCCTAGAAGTTTGAATTTATTGATGTAGATTTTAATCTGGAATAGATAGATATTACCTAACATTTTTGTTTTTATTACCTCTAAGTTACACATGCTTAAGTAGTCACTACTGATACCTATGCATTTTCTCCCTTGGCATGTGACATTGACATAAAAATTGTACATTGTACTTTAGTTTTCAGCAATTATTAATTATGTAATTTGGATCATCCCTCCCATTGAGTACTACTGGACAAGTGGGAAAAGGGTACATATTTGAAAAATCTGATGGAAAGTATGAAGGGGCTAACCAAGCAGTAAAGATTTGCCAGGCCAGGAACCAGGAGAAGGCAGAAATCTAGAAGAGCAAGTTGAGCTGCAGGGTTGCTTTTGTCCTGGGTGATGTTGGCTGCTCTGGGCAGTGTCTGAGACCTTTGAGGGCTAGGTGGATAAAGCCTACATCTAAAGGCTGCGGGTGCATATGTGGCACTGTAAATCCCTGGGATTAGGATGGGTCCCAAAGGGCTGATCCATAAGAGCAACACAGTCAGTTCTCAGGAGTGGCAGCTCAATTTTTGTTTGAGTGGTCCAGCAGTTTTCACTGCTCTTATTAAAAATTGTAATTGAGGATCTTCCCAGTGTCATAAAGAAGAAAAGAAATACACTTAAAAAGGTTTGAAAAGAAGGCACAAAACTCTTATGCTGAATGCAGAAAATACAAATGATTAGAACACTCTTGAAGTTAATAAGATACATATATATATAAATATATATATATATATATATATATTTTTTTTTTTTTTTTTTTTTTGAGACGGAGTCTCACTCTGTCGCCCAGGCTGGAGTGCAGTGGCGAGATCTCGGCTCACTGCAAGCTCCGCCTCCCAGATTTACTTAGGCCATTCTCCTGCCTCAGCCTCCCGAGTAGCTGGGATTACAGGCGCCCGCCACCATGCCCGGCTAATTTTTTGTATTTTTAGTAGAGATGGGGTTTCACCATGTTAGCCAGGATGGTCTTGATCTCCTGACCTCGTGATCCGGAAGTTAATAAGATATTTTTGCTTGGTAGGTAGAAGAAATTATAGAGCTGTTTTGCACAGATATAAAATGAAAATTTAAAAAAATTGATTCAGCAAAAGTGCGTACATATAAACTTCTAAAACTAAACCTAACAAATTCTGTACAAGATATCAATTGGGATATTTAAAAAACCCTACTGAGTAATAATAGAAGACAGTAATTAAAGAAGACAGTGAATTAACTGAATCAATTTACCAGGATCCTGGCTTGGATGGTTCAATATAATAATGACATTAATTTCCTACAGTACTCTAAGAACTCAAACACATCTCAATTAAATGTTTATCAAGCATTTTTGCAACACATAGTAAGCCAATTTTAAGCCTTATATTGAAATATGAAAGAGAAAAAGTAGCTATGACACTCTAAATAAGAATAATAAGCAGAGAGAATTTCCTTAGCAGATATTAAGACTTATGTTAGAGTTATTTTAATTAAGAGAGTCGAGATGTTGAGACAGGGTAGTAAACTAGAACTTGGGAACAGAATAGAAAGCCCTGAACGTATGTAGAGCAGAGGCAACATTACAGATCAGTGGGTAAAGGAAAACGATTTAGAAAATAATTTAACAACAATTGGTTATCTATCTGGAAAAATGCAATTGTACTCATCTCTTGTAAAAAAATGTGATTGTACTCATCTCTTTACAGTAATATAGTAGAATATCTTCATTACTTTAGTGTAGGGAAAGATTTTTATGCAGGTTACAACAAAGTATTAACCCCAGGGTAATCTTTGACAGGATTAAAGACATTAAAGTTGAGCTCCCAGATTATTTGGGGTTTTCCATTCCCCAGTGGACAGCGATAAATGACTAAATGTTCCTCTGGGAAAGTCCTGTAAAAAGAATTTATCTCAGAGTGAATTATAGGGTCCTTTCTCAAGGGCACCAGCCTTCTGCTTATTTGAGGGGCTCTGACATATCAGCTGGCTTTGGTGTAGCTACTGGATAAGAATTTCTGAATATCCAGGACTCAAGGTTGGTGACTGCTCAGCAGACCTAGCAGTTTTTATACCTGTATGTGTCATGTGGCACCTTAATGCCTTGGTAAGGGGGGCATCCTCTCAGCCCTCCCGGGAGATGTGGTTAGGAGATGTTAAGTAGGTTGCACATAATGGATACATTCCCACTTTTCCGTCTCTCTGAGCTGTGTTCAGACACTTTCCTCTGCAGTATGCCTGTGATAGGGATTCTGTTGATATAGGCTAGTGGTTTTCACAAACTGTTGCATATAGCAAAATCTGGAGAGATGATTTGTTTTAATAAACTCAAGGCTCTAGCCTGTTAAATTAGAATAATATCTGGGCCTGTGTAGTTTTGCTACAATTCCCAGATGATTTTGATACATACCAAATATTGAGAACCACTGCTTTGAGCTACTAGTTTTTAACTTGGCTGTTGATTGGAGTCAAACCTGGAGAGTTTTAGGAACAATACTGTTTCCAGGATCCTACTTTTGATGAATTAGATTTCATTGGTTTTACATGTTGATCTAGACCTGGGGCTATTTAAAATCTCCCACGTGATGGAAAGCGCAGTCGAATTTGAGAAACACTGTGCTAGGCCACAGTTGAATTCGGGTTTTAATTAGCTAACCTGGCTGACTATTAACATCACTCTTAGGTGTTCAAAATAACACATTTAATCTAAGATACTGGGTGAAGATCCCATATTGATGAATCCAGGCCAATCACATCTCATTTCTCCCTATGTCAATACTGAAAGCTATGGGGAGAAATCCCTCCAACCAGTGCTCCTCATCACTCTCTCCGTGATGATGCTCCCATTTAGCCGATCCCAAATAAAAGCCAGAAAGCAAGGCTGCCTTTTGTGGTCCAGCAGGCCATGCAGCACAGTGTCCAGGACACGGAGCAGGGAGAGTACATGGAGCGTGGATCAGGAGTGCACAGAGAAGATACCAGCAGACCTGCCCTCTCCATTGCACTCAAAATCACACTGGATTTCCTAGCTAGTGCAATCAGGCAACAGAATATATCAACTACATGAATTAATAAAAGCTTTAAGCAAAGTCATTGAATTAAAACTATATAAAATTATTTATATTTATACATACCACAACCAACACTGAAATTCAACAAAGAAAGAGATACTGTGAACACTAGCACCATATTTCAAGATCTTTGGAATAAATCTACTAAAAGATGCACAAGTAAAACCAGCAATACTTTATTTAAGAGTATTTAATAAGTAAACATTACATGTTCATGAATTATAAGTCTCAATGTGGCAAAATTTGTCAGTGCTCTCCAAATCTGATTACTGAATGAAATCTCTATTAAAAATAAAATTGTTAAAGGTACTTGGAAAGGTGCCTGTCAAGCTAGGAAAGTTGCCAATGATAGAAAAAACACTCCTGAAGTGAAAACTCAAAATTTATGGATTTACTTCATTGTATAGAGAGACATATTATAAAGCCGTGGATTATCTTGGGATGATGAAAATATTCTAAAATTAAATATGCAGATTTAAAACTCTGAATATGTGAAAAACCATTGAATTGTATACTTTAGTTGGGTGAGTAGTATGTGATTTATATCTCAATAAAGTTTAATGAGGAAAACATAATGAGATATTTTGAAAAATGCACTAGAATTTCTATATTAAAATTACTGAGTTTTCCAAACACTGATGAGAATACAGACCATCAAGATCTACCACACATTGCTTGCCACAGCCACTTTATCTAGCAGTGTGGCATCATCTCTTTGAGTGGGATATCATACACATATACCAGTAACTCCACTCCTAGGTGTATAATTTTGACAGATATGTGCCCATTGTGCCAACAGACTAGTGCTAGAAGGCTTGTAACAGCATTGCTTGTAATTTTAAAAAATCTGACAACAAATGAAATGACCATAAACGAGAGAAGGGTTAATTTAATATATGATGTATTTATTCAATGAAATGTTACAAATAATAAACATGAATACTCTACAGACACCTATAAAAACTTAGCAAACATACATTTGATCTAAAATGAGGTCTTGTAAGAATATACACAGCATGATTCCATTTGTATGAAAAATTCAAAATTTATATAAAGTTTGAGATAACCTGTGTTGTTTTAGAAATATATGCATGGGGTAAAGCTTTAAAGAAAGACATGAACAGGATTACTATGAAATCAGAATGAGGGTGAACTCTAACGACAGAAAAGGGATTGTTATTGCTATGGGAACTGGTATGAAAACTTCTGGGTTTTTTTTCTGAGTTTTGTTTCTTTTTCACACGGATCTTCCCTTTAAAACCATGTGTTAAAATGTAAATGTAATTCAAGCCCTTCACTTTTGGTTGTAACTTAACAGTGTAAAACTGGTTTTAAAAAAAGTAATGTTAATTATTTATCTGTAGTTGGAAAAATTAACCTTTACTCACAAAAGAGATGGATTTCCCCCTACACCACTCATCAGAGAAGAGACCATGAATTGGAATGGGAACTCGGAATTGTCATCATCCTATAATTCTACTCAGGATTCTGTCCTTAAAACATTGGCACACTGCTGTCCAGCTCCCTTCTGTAGTGATGGAATGCCTATATCTGTGCTGTTCATTACGTCAGTCACCGGCCACCCATGAATTCTGAGTATTTGAAATGTGGCTAGTACAAATGAGAAACTGGGAAAACTGACTTTTAAAATTAATATAATTTTAATTGATTTAAGTGTAAATAGTGTCTTGTGGACAAGGCAACATTACAAAAACAAAATGCAGCACCCGCTGTCTCTGTCTTTTTGTTCAGCCATGCATCGTGTGAATGACAGCTTCATTGTTACTAACTTTGAAAAGACCCCATTTCGAAGAAAAATGGAATTTCAGCTTCTTCAGGGGTGAGACTTTCTTGAACTCAGCATCTAATAAAATACCCAAACCACATGAAAGGACCCTGTTTATCTCTGTTCTCTCTGGGTATAGAAAAACATGCTGAATTCTTATTTGTATGCGAAATAAAGGGGTTTTCAATGGGAAATTTTTCTGTAAGGTGAGAAATTTATTCTAAATATAGTTCTCTAATTTCAAATGTTTTATCCAAGTTGCTTATAATTATTACTGTTTGGCTACTATAGTGTAAATATTTTTCAAATCATCTGAAATTTAAAAATATAGCAATATAATTCTATGCTGTGTGTGAAAAGGATTAAAAACAAGGTAAGCCTGTGTTAGCTTGGTAAATTATCACAATATAAGAGTGTTGTACAATGTACCAAGTTTAATGTAAAAGATGATGAACACCTCACACAGCCTGTTAAATTAATCAGAAACATTTCACTGTGAATGTGGAAGGGAAGATGAACAGAATTTTAAACACATTGGGTGTGTACAGAGGATCAGAATCTTGAATTTAGCATCACTTTTATATATTTTTTATTTACGTAGAGAGACTTTAGCACTTACTACGTCTCAGGCACTTTTCTAGATGCTTTTGATGCATTAAAACACATTTAATCCTTGTATCAACTTTAAGAAGTAGCCACCATGCTAATCCCAATTTACGGGTGAGTAGTAACTTTGCGTAACTCCAGCCAAGGGCGTGATAAGCTTTTACAGTTCTTTTGTAGTTTTTATTCCTAAAACATGTCTTTCATTCATCTTTTTTCTAATTAATGTTCAAATGTATCTAGCAACTGGTTATGTTTTGTAGGATAATTTTTTTGTCATTCATTCTACAATGATTTAGCTTAGCATTAAAAGTTTATGGAATTTCCTTTTAGTTTGTAAACTAGAAACAAGGTAGGCATTTACTTCTTGTTGATATTCCCCAAACTTCATTGTACACAACAGCTTCTCTCAAATAGGATCTCACAGAATCAGTTCAAGGTTGAACTCCTAACACTAAAATTTTACATTAAAATTGTATTCTCTGTTGCCCAGGCTGGAGTGCAGTGGCACCATCATAGCTTGCTGCAGCCTTGAACTCCTGGGCTGAAGGAACCTCCTGCCTCAGGCTCTTGAGTAGCTGGGACTACAAGGCATGCATCACCATGCCTGGCTTGATATTTTCTTTTATCAGATAGCAGAGTGAAGCACTTGCATTACAAAAATAAAATACATAAAAATTACGATGACTTTGCCAATCTAACATATGACTTCAAATGGTAGTGGTTAAATTAGGAGCCAGTCAGCCACTTTCAAACATGTTTTTCAAAATGAAATTTTAAAGACAGTGTCATTGTTTACTTCTACTACTACTCATAGGTTTAGCTGTGGTCCTGCTATAGAGTTTGTTAAGAAAACTTCCCTGAGTTGTTTTAAATGGTCTTTTGAAAGCCAAACGCTGCAATCCTATAATCATTGGAATTGGGAACAAACGATACGTTTCTAGGCTTTATTTTATTATAACTTAAAATCTTAGTGATGGTAGGATTATTTTTCCTTATTGATTTTTTCTAATATATTTAAAGCATTGATAATTGTGTTCAGTCAGTTGTATTTTATGCTGAATCATTTGACCATGTGAGGAAAGCAGATTTTTAGACTTTTAGCCCATCTTGACCAGAGGGATCAGTAAAAACCTGGAATGAAGAATTTCTTCCTGTGCACACCTTTTTTCTTGTGTGCATTGCCCCTCATTCACACTTCTGCACGTTCATACATTTGTGATTGCACTTTTTTGTATTAATTTGGAATCATTTATTAATTCCACAGTCAAGTTAATAAAATGGTTAAAAATAAATTTTACATGAATTTTTTCAAAATTCATTACTTGATCCATTTATTCATTCTAAACCCATGTCAAATACCATTCTTTAAACCTCATCGTGTATTAAAGTTGCTTTCATTTATTAATTCAATCAAATGGCATTGAAATTTGTAGCAAGAGGCATCTAAGAAGGCAGAATGTTTCTATCTGTTCTGGGATTAACAGGGGTAGAAAGATGTGAAAGGCAGATGGAAAAGAGGCCTCAGAGAGGCAGCCCAGATATAATGACACCTGCCTCCCTGGCCAGAAGCCAGCTTCCAGGATTCAGGATTCAGGAATAAAGTGTCCCAATATTCAGAAGGTTTCCTGGTCTCTCTTGAATTCAGTGCTCATTTGGCCAGGGCTAAGACCCTCACACACTTTGGTTTGAGGATCCAAGCACAGAATGTGGCTGCCTCTGGGACATTTCATGCTAAAGAAGCCCAGCACGTATAGACAAAGGGTCTAGAGGGCACCAGCCACCCTTCCATGGAGCTCTGTTCAAGGCACCTCCCCGTGCTCCATTACTTATGTTGGCCACGTCCTCAGGAGTTTAGAGAAATGGCCGTGTTGTCTCTGAGTGGAAGTGAGGGGAGGACACTAGGATAGTCAGGATTTTGAATCCCTGTGTCCTTTCCCTCCATCTCTACCAGAGACCACTTGTGGAAAAAAAAGACACGAATGTCAGAGGTGAATCCAGGCCCATGGATCCATTGTGGTCAGGGGACTGAAGCCAAGTGGCCCAACAGTGATGAAGTCTATGAGGCCTTGGTCACCCCAAAGCTTCCCCCATTAGGAGCTGCCTCTTACTGCCATCAGGGACCCCAGGAGCTGGACATGGCATTCTTTGTCATTTTTCATGAGGAGCTGGAGAGGTCCCAGAGCATATAGACCTTGATTGAATTGGAACCAGAGAGAAGTCAGGTAAAACTCTCCATTGGGCAGTATAATATGTTTGTTTTAATTTGCTAGAGCTGCCATAACAAAGTACCACACGCTGGGTGACTTAAACAACAGAAATTCATTGTCTCACAGTTCTGGAGGCTGGAAGTTTAAGATCATGGTGTTGGCAGTGCTGATTTCTTCTAAGGCTTCTTTCCTTGGCTTGTAGATATGTTCTCTCTATGTCTTCACATGGTCATTCCTCCGTATCTGTCTGTGTCTAATCTTCTCTTTTTATAAATACACTAGTCACATTGAATTAGGGCACACTCATATGACCTCATTTTACCTTAATGACCTCCTTAAAGACCTCTCCATATGCAGTCACTTTCTCAGGTACTGGGGGTTAGGACATCAACATGCCAATTTTGGGGGGATACAATTTAGCCCATAACAGTCTGATTATCCTTGAGATTGCATTTTCTAAAGAATAAAATAGAGTAAATCTCTTTGGCTCTTGATACTCTGAAATTTTGTTCTTGCAATGAGAATAAAAAAACGGAGAGCCAAAGGTTGGTGTCACCCAGAAGGTGAGCCCTCCCTAACTCTGGCTGCCCCAAGACCTGGTGCTGTGTCATACCAGAAAGCCTTGCTCCATTCTAGTGATTCCGGTACCAGCCTTTCAACTGGAAAGAGGATGCTTTCCCAGGGGAACAACTTCTCCTGCTGTGCTGGCTTATTTTCTTTGTATTTGGAGGACAAAAAAGTTGATGTAATAAAAAGAACATATTTGTCAAATTTTGGTGGTAATCATTTTGATATCCTTATCAATACCCCATATTGTAATGAATATGTTGGCTTCATTTTGGTGGAAGGGACATGACACTGGTCCTTTTGAGCCAGAATGTTCTAGGCCTTTCCATGGGATTCAGTTTCTGCCATGGTGGATAAGGGGAGAGCTCTTGGTGTAGGGTTTGGTCTTTATAATGAACCATGCTGTTTGGGCAGCGGGTTTATCTCTGGAAGCGTGAAGGTTAGGCTGGAGTGCGATCCTCCTCCCCATTCGAAAGGACAAGGTAGAGCAGGTTCTTGTTCAGGGTGCAGTGAGTGAGAGAAGGGAAAGTGACAGAGCATTCTTTCACCTTTTTGTGACATGCATGCATCCAAGTCTCTGGTGTTTTAAATAATTGAAACTGAGATCTAGTTCCACTTATCTATAAAGTAGAACTGTGGAGAGGGAAGTGTACCATCCCCGCCACTGGAGAGATCCCTGAAGAGAGATTTGTGAGCCCCCATTTTATCGAAAATGACACAAAATTTCATCAAAATAAAGTGAAATTGTGGCTGTAGATGGGGCTTTATTTAGAGCTTCGACTCCCCACCTGCTTCCTAAGACATGATCCTTCCCCAGGATACTATAGAATCACAGGGCTTAGACTGGAGGGGTAAGGCGTGATGGTGTTCTTCCTTTCTGGCAGACAGGATGTTTTGGATTGCATGTATTTTCCAAAGACAGCTGCAAAAATATCTAAATATCTTCCATCACACTTGCTTTTCTTTAGTTTGACCCACCACTCCCTCATCAAGAGGTAAGGTCTCTCCACTCTTTAAACATAAGCAGATCTGATATTTGCGCTACCCAATAGAATACGGCAGAAGTATGCTTGTGTCAGTTCTGGGCACTGCTGTTAACCATCCTGCCTGCATCTGGTTCCTTCCATTTCAATCCCTGGACCATGTAACACTCTCAGGCCATCATCTGAACCCAGCCAACACATAGAACCCTATGAGAGATCATTAAAAATTCTTAGTTACTATTTTCATGAATATCCTTCTCTATCCTTCCAATTTCAACTTCCGAGTGTCGTTAGATCCAAAGTGAGAATCTTTTTTTTTTGAGACGGAGTCTCACTCTGTTTCCCAAGCTGGAGTGCAGTGGTATGATCTCAGCTCACTGAAACCTCTGCCTCCCCAGTTCCAGCAATTCTCCTGCCTTAGCCTCCCTTGTAACTGGGATTACAGGCACCTGCCACTATGCCCGGCTAATTTTTTTCTATTTTTAGTAGAGACAGGGGTTTCATCATGTTGGCCAGGCTGGTCTCAAACTCCTGACCTCGTGATCCGCCCGCCACAGCCTCCCAAAGTGCTGGGATTACAAGTGTGAGCCACTGTGCCCAGCCAGATTCTTTTTATTCTATCCATTGTGATAATCTCTGAATTCTGATTGGGGAGTTTAATCCATTTACGTTTACATTTAAAGTAATTACTGATAAGGAAGGATTTACTTCTGTAATTGTGATGTTGGTTTTATGCATGTCTTATAGCTGTTTCGTCCCTCATCTCCTTCATTCAAACCTTCTTTTGTTTTTAGTCATTTTTCATTTAGTCGATTTTTTTCTAGTGATATGTTTTAACTGCCTTCTCATTTTCTTTTGTGTATATTTTATGTATTTTTTTGTGTGATTACTGTGGTATTATATATAACAATACAGTTATAACAATCTTGAACTGAAATCAATATGAAACTCTGCTTCTTTACATCTTTTCCCACCCCTCATTTTACGTTATTGACGTCACAAATTACACCTCAGCAGGCTGGAAGGCTGGAAAGTCATAATGTTGCAGCCTTCAATCTAAAATTTGTAGACCAGGCTGGCAGATTGGAAACCTAAAGTGTAGTTGCTACTGTCATCTTGAAGCAGAATTTTTTCTTCTCTGGGAAGACTCACATTTCGCCCAAAGGCCTTCAAGTGATTCAAAAAGTCCCACCCACATTTTTTAGGGTAATTTCCTTTTCATGAAATCAACTGATATCAGATTTTAATCACAACTGCAAAACACCATCATATCAACATATAAATTTAGTGTTTGATTAAATAACTAGGTGCTATGGTTTGGTAAAATTGACACATAAGACCCACCATCCCAGTCCATGCTTGTGAACTTGGCACCCACTAACATTTTCCTTAAACCTTACTTCGTCTCCAAATAAAAACAGCTATAAAGTCTTACTTTTGCCAAAGATGATACAATTAACTTGCATCCAACTAGAAACACACTAACCCTTTCCACAGAAAAAGATTCTCTTTGATATACTGTAACCTAAATACCATGCGTAATAAAAGTTAACTTTTATTAATAAAAGGGAATTATTGTTAGCACATCTTATGTTTTATTACAGATGATCAGGAAAGATGAAAAGAAAGGTATTTGCTCAATACATGTAAGGATACATACACACAGACATAAATATCATTATAAAAACATAAAGAAGTAATGCTGATAACGTTTACTGTCTTTATTTCTGTAAGTTCTCACATGGTTACAGCTGGTTATTTATTTATTTATTTATTTATTTATTTATTTATTTATTTATTTATTTGAGACAGGGTCTTGTTCTGTTGCCCAGGCTGGAGTGCAGTGGCATTACCTTGGCTCACTGCAAACTCTACCTCTTGGGCACAAGTGATCCTCCTACCTCAACCTCCTAAGTAGCTGGGACTACAAGCACACCACCAAGTCTAACTAATTTTTTGTATTTATTTTCAGTAGAGATGCAGTTTCAGCATTTTGCTCAGGTTGGTCTCACATTCTTAGACTTAAGCAATCCACCTGCCTCAGCCTCCCAAAGTACTGGGATTACAGGCATGAGCCACTGTGCTGGCCACAACTAGTATTTATAAATACTTTTTTGTTGTTTTTCACTAACCATCCCATATTCCCATTGCTTTCAGCAAGTCCCTCAGCTGATCAGGTTTCTTTTCCTGCTTGAATGACTTAAACCTTCATTCCTGAAGGGTATGGGTCATTAGTAGTCCTACCTGACCTGGGTTGTTGTAGTTTTTATTGACTTTAGTTATAGGGCAGAGTATTACTAAGAGATGCTCTAAAAGACCTCCTGTGTTCCAGACATAGTCCTATTTACCGCCATTGTGTAGTAGCTGACCAATTCCCCCTGATGACCAAGACCAATCACCCCAGACAGTGCAGTAACTCCTTCCTTTGTTGATTCAGAATTATGAGGAGCTGAAGGGCCCAGGTGGCTGTCTTAGCTTCCACCTGAATGGTTCATTTCTGTGTCTCCTGTAGGAGCATTCCTCCTTTTGTAAACCTCTAGATCCTGATCCTGTTCCTCTTGACTGGGCAAGATCTCCCAACCAGGGTCTCCAGCACCTCCTACAGGTGTGTTCAGGCTAGCAACAGGTCTGTACTTTTCCTGGAACAGACCTCCCAGAAGAAGGGGCAGACTGCCATCTTTCCTGTTACATAGCCTTCACTGGTGATACCTTCAGGTACTGGAAAATCTGAGGCAACTAGGGACTGGAGCAGGCCCCCAGCAAACTGTAGCAGCCCTGCAGAAAAGTGGCCAGACTGTTAAAAGAGAAAACAAAAGAAGAGAAAAAAAAATCCACTCAAAGGTCAGCAACCTCAAACATTGAGGGTAGATAAGCCCACAAAGATGAGAAGAAATCAGCAAAAGAATTTGATAACCAACCTGACAGAGCTGAAAAACACACTATAAGAATTTCATAGTGCACTCACAAGTATTAATAGCAGAATAGAGCAAGTGGAGAAAAGAATCTCAGTGCTTGAAGACTGGCTTTCTGAAATAAGACAAGAAGACGAGACTAGAGAAAAAAGAATGAAAAGGAATGAACAAAACATCTGAAAAACATGGGATTATGTAAAGAAACTGAATATATGAATGATTGGTGTACCTGAAAGAGATGGGGAGAATGGAACCAATTTGGAAAACATTTCAGGATATGATCCATGAGAACTTCCCCAACCTAGCTAGACAGGCCAACACTCAAATTCAGAAATGCAGAGGACCCCAGTAAGTTACTCCATGAGAAGATCATCCCCAAGATAAATAATCATCAGATGCTCCAAGGTTAAAATGAAAGAAAAAATATGAAGGGTATCCAGAGAGAAAGGCCAGATCACCTACAAAGGGAAGCCCATCAGACTAACAGTGGATCTCTCAGTGGAAATCCTATAAGCCAGAAGAGATTGAGGGCCAATATTCAACATTCTTAAAGAAAAGAGTTTCCAACCCAGAATTTCATATCCAACCAAACTAAGCTTCATAAGCAAAGGAGAAATCAGATTCTTTTCAGGCAAACAAATGCCAAGGGAATTCATGACTACCAGACCTGCATTACAAGAACTCCTGAAGGAAGCACTAAACATGGAAAGACAGTTACCAGTCACTACAAAAACACAATGAAGTACACAGACTAGTGACACAATAAAACAACCACATAAGCAAGTCTGCAAAGTAACTAGTTAACATCATGATGACAGGATCAAATCCATACATATCAATACTAACCTTAAATGTAAATGGGCTAAATGCCCCATTTAAAAGACATAGAGTGGCAAGCTGGATAAAGAACCAAGACTTATCAGTATGCTGTCTTCCATATACCCATTTCACACGCAATGACGTACATAGGCTCAAAATAAAAAGATGGAAGAAAATTTACCAAGCAAATGGAAAGCAGAAAAAAAGCCAGGGTTGCAACCCTTGTTTCTGACAAAACAGTTGTTAAACCAAAAAAGATAGAAAAAGACAAAGAAGGGCATTACATAATGGTAAAGGGTTCAATTCCACAAGGAGATCTAACTATCTGAAATATATATGCATCCTGTACAGGAACACCCAGATTCATAAAGTAGGTTCCTAGAGACCTTCAAAGAGACTTAGAATCTCACACAATAGTAGTAAGAGATTTTAATACTCCACTGACAATATTAGACAGATCATCAAGACAGAAAATTAACAAAGATATTCAGGACCTGAACTCAGCCCTGGATCAAATGGACCTGATAAATATCTACAGAAGTCTTCACCCCAAAGCAACAGAATATACATTTTTCACATTGTCACATGGCACTTACTCTAAAATCGATCACACAATTGGAAGTAAAACACTCCTCAGCAAATGCAAAAGAACTGAAATCATAACACTTGGACCACAGTGCAATCAAATTCAAAATAAAGACTAAGAAATTCACTCAAACCATACGATTACATAGAAATTGAATAACCTGTTCTTGAATGACTTTT
Source organism: Homo sapiens (assembly GCF_000001405.40). Taxonomy (NCBI): domain Eukaryota; kingdom Metazoa; phylum Chordata; class Mammalia; order Primates; family Hominidae; genus Homo; species Homo sapiens. The sequence continues at coordinate 2,626,120 of NT_167249.2, forward strand.
GGGTAAATAATGAAATTAAGGCACAAATCAAGAAGTTCTTTGAAGATAATAAGAACAAAGATACAACGTACCAGAATCTCTGGGAAACAGTGAAGGCAGTGTTAAGAGAGAAATTTATAGCATTAAATGCCCACATCAAAAAGTTAGAAAGATTTCAAGTTAACAACCTAAAATCACAACCAAAAGAACTTGAGAACAAAGAGCAAACATATCCCAAAGCTAGCAGAAGACAAGACGTAATAATAAAAAATTAACAAAGGTATTGTCTCCTGAAGGAGACAGAGACATGAAAAACCACTCAAAAGATCTACGAATTCAGGAGTTTTTGTTCTGTTTTGTTTTGGTTTTGTTTTTGTTTGTTTGTTTTTGTTTTTGTTTTTGTTTTTTTTGAGATGGAGTTTCACTCTTGTTACCCAGGCAGGAGTGCAGTGGTGCGATCTCAGCTCACTGCAACCTCCGCTTCCCAGGCTCAAGTGATTCTCCTGCCTCAGCCTCTCGAGTAGCTTGGATTATAGGCATGTGTCACCATGCCCGGTTAATTTTTTTGTATTTTTAATAGAGATGAGGTTTCTCCATGTTGGTCAGGCTGGTCTTGAACTCCTGACCTCAGGTGATCTGCCTGCTTCAGCCTCCCAAAGTGCTGGGATTATAGGCGTGAGGCCACCGCTCCTCGCCTAGGTTTTTTTTAAATTAATAAAATCAATAGACCCCTAGCTAGGCTAGTAAAGAAGAAAAGAGAGAAGATTCCAGTAAACACAATTAGAAACAATAAGAGGGACATTACCATTGACCCCACAGAAATTCAAGCAACCACCAGAAAATATTATGAACACCTCTATGCAAATAAACTAGAAAATCTAGAAGACAAGGATCAATTCCTGGATACATACACCTGCCCCCTCCATGACTGAACCAGGAAGAAATTGAATCACTGAACAGACTAATAATGAGTTCTGAAATTAAGGCAGTAATAAACAGCCTACCAACCAAAAAAAACCCAGAACCAGATGATTGACAGGCAAATTCTATTAGATGTACAAAGAAGAGCTGGTACCATTGCTACTGAAACTATTCCAAAAAAAAAAAAAAATGAGGAGGAGAGACTTCTCCCTAACTCATTCTATTAGGCCAGCAACATCCTGATACCAAAATGTGGCAGAGATACCACAACAACAAAAAAGAAAACCTCAAGCCAATATTCCTGATGAACATCGATGCAAAAATCTTTGACAAAATGCCGGCAAGCCGAATCCAGCAGCACATCAAAAAGCTTATCCACTACAATCAAGTAGACTTCACCCCCAGTATGCAAGGTTTGTTCAACAAGTGTAAATTTAAAAATGTGCCTCGTTATACAAACAGAACTAAAGACCAAAACCACATGATTATCTCAGTAGATGCAGAAAGGGCTTTTGATAAAATGCAACATCTATTCATGTTTTAAAAAACTCTCAATAACCTAGATAGTGAAGGAACACACTTCAAAATAATAAAAGCCAATTATGACAAACCCACAGCGAGCATCATACTGATGGGCAAAAGCTGGAAGCATTTCCCTTGAAAACTGACACAAGACAAGGATGCCTTCTCTCACTACTCGTATTCAACATAGTATTGGAAGTTCTGGTCAGGACAATCAGGCAAGAGAAATAAATGAAGGTATTCAAATAGGAAGATAGGAAGTCAAACTATTCCTGTTTGCAGCTTACATGATTCTATAACTAGAAAAACCCAGTCTCAGCCCAAAAGCTTTTAAAGCTGATAAACAACTTCAGCAAAGTCTCAGGATACAAAATCAATGTGAGAAAATTACTAGCATTTCTACACACCAACAACAGGCAAACTGAGAGCCAAATCAGGAAAGAACTCCCATTCACAAATGCCACAAAAAGAATACAATACCTAGGAACACAGCTAACTTGGGAGGTAAAAGGTCTCTATAAGAAGAACTATAAACCACTGTTCAAAGAAATCAGAGATGATGCAAACAAATGGAAAAACTTCCTATGCCCATGGATAGGAAGAATCTATATTGTGAAAAAGGCCATACTGCCCAAAGCAATGTATAGATTCAATGCTATTCCTGTCAAACTGCCACTGACATTCTTTTTTTTTTTTTTTTGAGATGGAGTCTTGCTCTGTCGCCCAGGCTGGAGGGCAGTGGCGCGATCTCGGCTCACTGCAAGCTCTGCCTCCTGGGTTCACGGCATTCTCCTGCCTCAGCCTCCCAAGTAGCTGGGACTACAGGTGCCCACCACCATGCCCAGCTAATTTTTTGTACTTTTAGTAGAGACAGGGTTTCATCCTGTTAGCCAGGATGGTCTCGATCTCCTGACCTCGTGATCTGCCTGCCTCGGCCTCCCAAAGCGCTGGGATTACAGGTGTGAGCCACCGCGCCCGGCCACTACCACTGACATTCTTCACAGAACTAGAAAAAACTATTTTAAAATTCACCTGAAGCCAAAAAAGAGCCTGAATAGCCAAGGCAATCCTAAACAAAAGGAACAAAGCTGGAGGTATTACACTACCTGATTTTTTTTTTTGAGACGGAGTCTCTACCCTGTTGTCCAGGCTGGGATGCAATGGTGTGATCTCAGCTCACTGCAACCTCCGCCTCCTGGGTTCAAGTGATTCTCCTTTTCTCAGCCTCCTGAGTAGCTGGGATTACAGGCACGTGCCACCACGCCCAGCTAATTTTTTATATCTTTAGTAGAGATGGGTTTCACCTTGTTGACCAGACTGGTCTCAAACTCCTGACCTCATGATCCACCTGCCTCTACCTCCCAAAGTGCTGGGATTACAGGTGAGAGCCACCATGTCCAGCCTATGCTACCTGATTTCAACTATACTTCAAGGCTACAGTAACCAAAACAGCATGGTACTGGTACAAAAACAGACATATAGAGCAATGGAACAGAATAGAGAACCCAAAAATAAGACCACACACCTACAACTATGATCTTTGACAAACCTGACAAAAACAAGCAATGGGGAAAGGGTTCCCTATTCATAAATAGTGCTGGGATAACTGGCTAGCCATATGCAGAAGATTAAAACTGAACCCCTTTCTTACACCATATACCAAAATCACCTCAAAATGAATTAAAGACTTAAATGTAAGATCCAAAACTGTAAAAACCCTAACACAACCTAGGCAATACCATTCAGGACATAGGCATGGGCAACGATTTCATGACAAAGACGCCAAAAGCAAGTGCAACGAAAGCAAAAATTGTCAAATGGGATCTAATTCAACTAAAGAGCTCTGAACAGCAAAAGAAACTATCAACAGAGTAAACAACCTACAGAGTGGGAGAAAACTTTTTGCAAACTATGCATCCAACAAAAGTCTAATATCTATAAGGAACTTAAACAAATTTACAAGAAAAAACAAAACAACCCCATTAAAAAGTGGGCAAAGCATAAGAACAGATACTTCTCAAAAGAAGACATACATGCAGCCAACAAACATGAAAAAATGCTCAACATCACTGATAATTAGAGAAATGCAAATCAAAACCACAGTGAGATGCCATTTCACACCAGTCAGAATGACTATTATTAAAAAGTCAAAAAATAACAGATGCTGGCAAAGTTGTGGAGAAAAAGGAATACTTATACACTGTTGGTGGGAGTGCAAATTAGGTCAGCCATTGTGGAAGACAGTGTGGTGATTTCTCGAAGACCTAAAGACAGAAATACCATTATACCCAAAGGAATATAAATCATTCTATTACAAAAACATAGGCACACATATGTTCATTGCAGCACTATTCACAATAGCAAAGACATGGAATCAACTTAAATGCTCATCAATTATAGACTGGATAAAGAAAATGTGATACATGTATACCATGGAATACTATGCAGCCAGAAAAAGGAATGTGATCATGTCCTTTGTAGGGACATGGATGGAGCTGGAAGCCGTTATCCTTAGCAAACTAATGCAGAAACAGAAAACCAAATACTGCATGTTCTCACTTATAAGTGGGAGCTAAATGATGAGAATGCATAGAGACATAGAGGGGAATAGCACACACTGGAGCCTTTCAGAAGGTGGAGGGTGGGAGAAAGAAGAGGATCAGGAAAAATAAGTAACGGGTACTAGGCTTAAAACCTGGGTGATTAAATAATCTGTGTACCAAACACCCACAACACAAGTTTACCCGTAAAACAGCCTGCACTTGTACCCCTGAACTGAAAATAAAAGTTAAAAAAAGGAACTGATCTGTGGATTTTGCCTGTTGCTGAGTAGGTCTGTTTCAATTATGCAAACCAGCACTGAGGAAATAATCACAGAGTGGTCAGGGGCCCACTGGAACCACTGTGAGAATGGTTCATGGATGTTAGGGCTTCAGGTTTTCTATTCTTCCTAGTTTAATCTTGGTAGGTTGTTTGTTTCCAGGAATTTATCCATTTCCTCCAGGTTTTCCAGTTTGTCAGTACAGAATTGTTCATAATAGTCTCTGACAGTCTTTTGTATTTTTGCAATATCAGTTGTAATGTTTCTCTTGTTTCTGATTTTGAGTCTGTTAGAAATTAAGCTTGAAGTCACAAAGAAAACGAACACTTGAACAAAGGATTTCTCAGCAAGGCAGTTTTTACTTCTGTGGAAGGGTGCTACCTGTAAGCCTGATTGCCATGAGAGCACCCAGAACAAGGGAAAGCAGGGGTTTTTATTCCTAACGCAAGTTGTTTCTACTATTGTGTCCTGTCTGCATTGGCTGGAGCTGGACTGCGCAGTCTAAACTGATCCCGGTTGACTAAAAACTTTAACTTTCCTAAAAAAGGTAAAGGTGCAATGGAGAACAAAGGAAAGGAGGGGGTCGCTTACGGGAAACCAGGAAGACAATAATATTTCTAAATAAGGAAAGGGCATAGGCTGCAAGCTGGGACATGTTTGGGCATGTCTGGTCAGATCCAGGCAGACTACGAGTTAGGCCTTGGTTCAAGTACAAGAACATAGAATGTGTTTATTTATTTACTGTATGTAACAACTACTTGGAGCACGATAAAGAGTCATTAGTAAATTAGAAGATTTGTTAGTATGAAGAGTGAGGGAAACTTAAAGAAAGCTTTTAAGAGGAACTATCTTCTTAACACTTATGTTAAACCAAAAAGGAAAACTTTGGAGAGGAACTTTTATTCTTTACAGCTTCCCCCTCTTGATTTTACAGTTCTTCCTCTTCAAATCTCCTTAACATATCTTTAGTTTGTTACTCTTCTTAATCAGTTAGAAGGGACAACTTATCCGAGTAAGGGGAGGAGAATTGAAAGGGGTTTTGGTAAGAGCCTTTTCAATAAGCCTTTGCACTAATCCACGAATGCAAGGTATAATACAACATTCTACAAGGATAAGTACACTGATTATGAGAGCCAGTGAGGTGAGAACTGAGGACATGAGTCCTTTCCACTTACCAAACCACCTTTCCATTAAGCTAGTGAAAGGATCATTTATTCCAGAGTTTTTAGCTAGTTCATTTGATAAAGCAGTAAGACCTTGTCATGCTTTTGTTATAGTTCAATCAGGGGCAGTATTATCAGGGATAAAAGTACAACATTGAGTTCCAATCATAACACAAACCCTGCCTTTTTCTGCTAGCATCATGTCTAGTGCTATTCTATTTTCCCAAGTCATCTGTCTGGTGGGTCCTAGTTGCTCAGCTATTCCCTCATAGCATCCCTTGTGCAATTAATGAATTATTGCTGATTGTAGTAAATATAATTTATCCAATCTACATTTTTTTTTTGAGATGGAGTCTCAGTCTGTCGCCCAGGCTGGAGTGCAGTGGTGCGATCTCGGCTCACTGCAACCTCCGCCTCCCAGGTTCAAGTGACTCTCCTGAGTAGCTGGGATTACAGTTGCATGCCACCACGCCCAGCTAATTTTTGTATTTTTAGTAGAGAAAGGGTTTCACTATGTTGGTCAGGCTGGTCTCAAACTCCTGACCTCGTGATCCACCCGCCTTGGCCTCCCAAAGTGCTGGGATTACAGACGTGAGCCACTGCACATGGCTATCCAGTCTACATTTTTATTGATAGCCACCCACCTGAATAATGACTTAAATCCTGCAGCTATTTGGTTTCAAGCTTTAAATTCATCTGGTACTCCAATAGCATCTATATAAACGCTGGGATCAAAAGACTCACAAGAACACTTCTTGTACTACGATGCCTGGTTGTTAATTCTTTTGGCGAATGAAATGCCAGGGTGAAAGAGATAGCCAATTGAATCAGAGCACAAGTACCACTCCAGTTATTTGGCAGAGTGTCCCACAAAGGTCCACCGCAATACCACCATACATCTGCTTGGGGATGGATAAGGGCAGACTGATCGGTTAGCTCTTGGAAGTGCTTGACCTCCCTGCATCCCATGAGGTTTCCAAGGAAAGCCAAATTTTCTCCCTGTTGTGAGAGACACGAAGCAAATTTGGTCCCAGAAGATGGAGGCTGAATGGCCTTCGGGGGCTGACCTACGGGGTGCTGGACCACAGGGAATAGCAGAGAAAGTGTTTGACATGATTTATTACCCCAGGCTGTGGGGTCTTGGAGCAGAGCTACCATGCGGTCCGTATCTGGTCTATTACAAGACCATCTCAGTGGAAAGGGGATAATTTGGGCCTCTGATCTGCTGTGTGCCCAAGCATAACAATCTCTCTTATTTTGACTGTGGATGGAATATTTAATCCATTCCACCCAGGCATTTGCATCCTGAGACCCTGTTTCAATGGCTAGAGTTTGCCTCAGGTCTTTTACTTCTACTATAGCTACTTTGGCTTTGTCACTGAGTATAGGTGGGGTGATGGTTTGAGGAAGATGTGATAGAGAGGTGGAAGGGGCAACTTTCCCGAGATGTTGGCCCCTATGCCATAAATACGACTTAATGAAGGGGAAGAGTTTTGGGATGTTGCAATAGTAATAGTAAGCCAAATAGGATTACATTGGTTATATGGACAATTAGAAGAGGCAATCCCTTTTGTAAGATGGATATATGGCTTTAAGGACTGGCAAAGACTGGTGGGAGCAGTCCAGCCTGGACCTTTGGTGTTCCGTAGGACATTAGACCAAGTATAGCATATGGACTCTGTTTTAAGGGGACAAGAGTCCCATTCCCACCAGTTAATACAACTACTTTTTGGAGTTATCATGATCTTTACAAGAATTTGCTATATCTTTCCAATCTGAGGAAGTCCAAGACGGACGAAGATATTTAAATGAGGCAGTAAGCTCTTTGGTCCTGTAAATTTCCACAAGGCACGACTAGACAAGCATCAAAGGTAATAATTTTGGGCAAACTTGATCTAGTTACATTAATGATGAGATGGGGGCAGTTAAGGGAAAGAAAAGAAGAAAAAAGATAGATATATTAAGTTTTTCTTTTTATCGTTACTCTGGTGGGAGTTGACGGAATAACGGTCCATGTCTCCAGAGAAGGTGATGCCTTCTTGACTTGAGTATAATGAGTCCACCCTTTTTCAGTGGTCTGAACTGCTGTTTCAGTTGTTGTGAGCACCAGATAGGGTCCTTCCCAGGTAGGCTCAAGCTTTCCCTCTTTTCAGCCTTTGATAAGGACGTGATCTCTGGGTTGATGTTGGTGGGCCAGGAATTCAAGGAGTGGAGTCTGTGCTAGGAGACCTTGAGTCCTGAGGGAAGAAAGAGTGGAAGACAGACCAAATACATAATTTCTAAGGAACTGATCTTTTGTTTCGATCATAGGAAGGTCAGTAGTAGTGTTTAGATAAGGTAACCCACAAAGCATTTCATAAGGAGACAGGCCAAGATCCCTCCGAGGGAAAGTTTGGATTGTTAGTAAAGCAATGGGAAGAGATTTTGTCCATGGTAGCCAAGTTTCTAAGATTAATTTGGTTATGTGACTCTTTAAAGTTTGATTCATTCTTTCTACTCTCCCTGATGAAGGTGGAGACCAGGAAGTATGATATTCCCATTTTATCTCTAATACTTGGATTAGGCCTTTAATAATGTGCATGGTAAATTAGGTCCCATTATCTGAATCAATGTTCTCTATTATTCCAAACCTGGGTATGATATGTTCTAACAGAGCTTTGACCACGTTACTGGCTGTTGCACTTGGAAAAGGGATGGCTTCTACCCAGTGGGTAAGATGATCTACTATTACTGGTAAATACTTAAGGCGGCCTATTGGGGGCATTTCAGTAGAGTCAACTTGGACACTTTGAAATAGCCTTAACCTAGGATTTCTTCCTCCAGGAGGTTGTTTTTATAGGGTCTGCTTATTAGATTTTCTGCACACTATACAACTTTCCACCATTTGCTTGGCGAGGGTGTATATTCCTATGCACCCATAAACCCTAAGGACTGCATCACACATGGTTTGAGGACCCCAGTGAGATCCTTGATGAAGCTGTGACAATATTTCCCTCATAAGAGGTTTGGATAACATTTCTCTTCCATCTGGTAATACCCACTTTCCTTCTGAGTTTTCCTCAGCTCCTATTTTTTTTAGTTTTTCCTGATCTGCTTGAGAGAAGATAGGGAGTGCAGCTGAAGATGGAAGACAAGGGGTTAGTCAAAAAATGGGTTCTGCTGGAGAAGAGGCAGCTTGCTTAGCTATTTGGTCAGTGGGATTATTTCCCTCGCCTTCAAATGAAGGATTCTTTTGATGTCGTGGGACATGTACAACAGCTATTTCTTTTGGCAATTGTAAATTTTCTAGTACTTGTATTATTAGGTCCCCATGGTCTAAAATTTGACCTTTGCTGTTAATGAGGCCCCACTCAGTCCAAATTTTTCCAAAAGTATGGACTACTCCAAAGGCATACCTGGAGTCTGTATAGATTGTTCCTTCTTGATTTGCAGAAATTTTAAGGCCTGATTTAATGTGAACAACTCATATGTTTGTGCAGACCACTCATTTGGTAACCTTTCAGACTCTATTTCTGTGAGGGTATCTCCATCTATCATTGAATACCCGTTATGCATTTTTCCTTTGATTACTCAGGAGGAACCATCTATAAACAGGTGTTTCCCAGTCTGAAAGGGTGTTTCATTTAAAACAGGTCTAACTTCTGTTTGATAACTAATTAAATCTAAACATCTGTGCTCTGGGCAAAGATCAAGGGTCTGTGGGTTGGGGTTTCCTGTTAAGAAAACAGCTGGATTAATTGAGTCATCAGTGGTTAAGGTTAGATCATCTCTTTCTAACAAGATGGCTTCTTACTTTAAAATTCTTGAATCAGTAAGCCACCTTCCCGCCTTCTGATTGAGAATTGTTCTCACTTGGTGAGGAGCACTAATGATAAGATTTCCCCAAAGGTTAATTTTCTGCTGTCCTCTGTGAGCAAGGCTGTTGCTGCCACTGATTGGACACACTCGGGCCATCCATGGGCTACTGGGTCAAGAATTTTTGACAAGAAGGCTGTGGGTTGCCAATGGCCTCCATGTGTTTGAGTAAGTACCCCTAAGGCTACTCATTACCTACATTAACAAAAAGATGAAAGGGCAATTCTAAAGAGGGTAAGGCTAGAACATGGGCTGTCACTAGTAACTCTTAATTTTTTTACCTGCTGTATTTCTGGTAAAAACCATATAAGGGGGTCCAATTCATCCTGTGTAAGTTTTTTTATATAGAGGTTTGGTTACTAAAGCATAAGAGTCTATCCATAAGCGACAATACCCTACTAACCCTAAACATTTTCTAAGTTCCTTCTTTGTCTCAGGCAGAGGTAAGGATATGATGCCTTCAATCCATTCAAATCCAATTCTCTATTTGCCCTTACTGATTAAGTGCCCTAAATACTTGACTTCAGGTTCTACAAACTGAAGTTTGCTTTTTTGACACTTGTAACCCCTCCAGTTGTAAATTATTTTTAAAAAACCTATTGAAAATCCTTCTACTTTTTGTCTATCCTCCCCTGAAATAAGGATATTATCCATGCATTGGAGCAGGCATATATATGGTGGTTTGTAAAACTTTTCTATGATCTGTTCTAGTATTTGACCAAACAAATTTGGAGATTCTGTAAATCCCTGGGGCAAAACTGTCCATCGATACTGTTATTTTCAACCAGAGTGAGGGTCCTCCCATTCAAAGACTATCTTTGCTAGTGGGCAAGCCCAGAAGGCATCCTTTGGATCTATTACTGTGAACCACTCATGGTTGTATGGAATGTTACTAATAATAGTATAAGGATTAGGAACAACAGGGTGAGTTGTTCGAACTATTTGGTTAATAGATCGAAGATCTTGCACTAGCCGATATGACCCATCTGGCTTTTTCACAGGTAGTGTGGGAGTGTTATAAGGAGACATACAGGGTTCAATGAGTCCACAATGGAGAAGGCTTTCTATTATGGGCTTTAAATTGATCTTAGCTTCTAAGGGAATTGGTTATTGTTTTCTTTTTACCACTTCCCCCAGCTTTTTCAATTTAACTTGGATTGGGGAAATTCATAATTTTCCTCGGTTTCCTTCCTTTGACCATACATCTGGATGGATGTATCCCTCATTTAGAGTAGCAAGCAAATTTAAGGAAGGGAGGAGATTTCCTTGATTAACATAAAGGCCTAGGTTTAATTTTAGCATTAAATCTCTTCCTAATAGGTTTGTTCCTGCCTCCATTATTAACAGAAGTTTAATAGTTACTGAGTGGTTCTGATATTTAATTTTTGCTTCTTCGAAGACTTTTGCTTTAAACCCCTCCCCTTTTGCTCCCAAAATAAAAAGTTCTTCTTGTGACCAAGTTACACCAGGGGAAGATAACAAACTGAGGAATCAGCAGCTCCTGAGTCAGTTAAAAAGGTTTGGGTCCCACCTCTAAATTTATCAAGGGCTCTTGGTGGGACTCGAGGTAAAAAGAGTAGAGCCCCTTGCCCCCCATTCCTCTTCAAAGATCATAAGTGGGTGATTTCTTTTTCTTTTTTCCATTCAGGGCATTCTCTTTAAAGTGACCTTCCTTCCCACACTTGAAGCATTTATTCTGCCCTATTCCTCTTTTTATTCCCTTGTTCCCTGGTTTGATTCCTTTACCTCCATTATAGGGTCTGGCAGTCGGGTACCTAAAAGATTTACCAGTGACATTTCTTTGAGCTGTCTATTGGGGAGTTCCCTGCTGTAAGAACAGCATAATCTTTGCCTTGTCCTTTTACTTTTCTTCATCTCTTCGTACATACACCTTTTGGGCCTCCCTTAAGAGTTCCTCTATGGGACAGTCCTTCCAATTTTCTGTCTTTTGTAATTTCTTGGTAACATCTGGCCAGCTATTTGTGACGAAGTGAAGCTTTAACATTCCTTGTCCAAGTGGGTCTCCTCCATCTAAACCAGCATATTTCCTCATTTGTTCCTTAAGCCTGTTAAAAAATTCCATAAGCCCCTCATCTTTTCCTTGCTGTATATTAAAAGCTTTGGTCATATTCTGGGTGCAGGGTAACGATTCTCTAATTCCTTTTATTATCATTTCTTGCAGGTCTCTCATATTCCTCCTATGAGCTATGTTGTTATTATCCCACTGGGAATCTTGAGTAGGAAATTTCTGTTTGGCTGCAGGGACGTTTTGACCGGGAGGATGCTCACACTCCCAAATGGTCATAGCAGCCCTGTGCGTCATGCTCCTTTCTTCCCCTGAAAAAAGAATGCCTATGATGGACATTAACTCAGCCCAGTATACAACTGGAGTCCTAAAAATTGATGAATTTGATCTGTCACTACATAGAGATCGTCTAAGAGTGGCTTGAGTTCCCTCTTCAAGCTCCAGACTTCTGAACTGGTCAGGGGAGCATTTACAAAGGCAATGCCCCCTCCTCCTAGAGACACTTCCCTCAATGGGAAGTGGTTTGTAGCTGAACCCCTAGAAGAAGGGAGAAAATGGAAGTTTTGGATATCATTTTTACATTGTTCTAACTCACGTTGAAGTCTTCCTGAGGGAGGGCATTCAAGCTGGGGATGACCCCAAGAATCAGGGTTATAAGGAGGGAAAGAAAATCTGAGTAGGGGAAAGGTCTGGGACTGTTATATCTACTGGAGTGGGAGGTGGGGGATGTTGGTCTACTGGTTGGGGGGAAGAAGGTTTGGTGGGGGAAGGTGGTCTAAGGGGTCCCATGTGTTGGTGGGGTTCTTGGCGTAAGGGGTATTAATTTCATGAGAAGTAGTTTCTGGCTTCTCTCCTTTAGTTTTCAGATGACAAAGGAGGATGGGCCTTTGCCACCAACACAGAGCATAATGTATTTCCTCCTGGGAAACAGGACTTTTATCATTTACATATTCTATTAAAAGCTGGCAGTCCAATCCTCATTTGACCCGAATTTTGGCCAGAAAACTGAAGGCTTTAGAATAGGTTCCTTGGTCCAAATGAAACAATAATACTTTATCATCTGTTGCTTTTTCTTATGTTTAGTCCTCTCGTATCCTTCCAATATTTTAACATGAGTCCTAAAGGACTATCAGAGGTGATTTCACTGTCTGCCTTTTCCTTTTTACCTTCTGTCTTACTCAGGGTATTTCCCATGTTGAATACTGGTTAGGCTCAGTCCCTTGAACTAGAGATTTCTCACCTATCCTTCCCTGGAGGTTTAACCCCTATCCTGGAGGTTCCTTGCAATCTTCTCCTTCTGCTTCGTCCACTCTGGCTGCTTTCCCAGAGGAAATTAGGCTCCCCTTAGCATCAGCGGGATTGTATAAACCCCAATGTCAGGATCCCTACAAGAGGGCCACCATAAGCCATATGAGGTGACCACAGAACCACAGATTGGACTCACTCACTCCGCACAGCAGTAGTGCTTGTTACCTTTCACACCCTTTAACCTCCAGAATATGCCGACCACCAAGGAAATACTGTTGCCCTTGTGACTTTTTTTTACCTTGGTCTGTGCACAGTTACCTGGTCATCGCGGTACTTGCAGGCCTTCTCCTTCCACATTGCTGAGAGCCTGGATTTATTCGTCACAATGGGTAGTCTCAGTCTCCCGTCCCTGGGGCCACTGCAGTGGGGCAGTGGGGTGCACCTCCCCTAGATGGGGTGACCAAAGACCCCTTCCCAAAGAAGAATGGGAATAGTGGACGAGCCCCCAGAAAATTGTTAGAAATAAAGCTCGGAGTCACAAAGAAAACAAACACTTGAACAAAGGATTTCTCAGCGAGGCAATTTTTACTTCTGCAGAAGGGTGCTACCCATAAGCCTGATTGCCATGAGAGCACCCAGAACAAAGGAAAACAGGGGTTTTTATTCCTAACGCAAGTTGTTTCTACTATTGTGTCCTGTCTCCATTGGCTGGAACTGGACCACACAATCTAAACTGATCCCAGTTGGCTAAAAACTTAAACTTTCCCAAATAAGGTAAAGGTGCAATGGGGAACAAAGGAAAGGAGGGGGTCACTTATGGGAAACCAGGAAGACAATAATATTTCCAAATAAGGAAAGAGCATAATCTGCGAGCTGGGACATGTCTGGGCATGTCCAGGCAGATCCAGGCAGACTAGGGGACAAAGGAGTTAGGCCTTGGTTCAAGTACAAGAACATAGAATGTGTTTATTTCTTTACTGTATGTATCAACTCCTTGAGGGCACAATAAAGAATCATTAGTAAAATAGAAGATTTGTTAGTATGAAGAGCAAGGGAAACTTAAAGGAAGCTTTTAAGAGGAACTATCTTCTTAACACTTATCATTCTAAACCAAAAAGGAAAACTTTGAAGAGGAACTTTTATTCTTAACAAATTTTCTCTCTTTTTTTCTAGGTTTGTTTAGCTAGTGGTTTATCAATTTTGTTTATGTTTTTGAAGAACAAACTTTTCACTTTGTTGATCATTTACATGGTTTTTAAAAGTCTTTATTTAGTTCTACTATGATCTTTATTATTTCTTTTCTGCTAATTTTTGATGTGTTTTTTTCTTGCTTTTCCAGTTCCTTGAGGTTCATTGTTATATTGTTAATTTGTAATGTTTCTACTTTTCTTAGGTAGGTATTTATTCCTATAAACCTCCCTTTTAGCCCTGTTTAGCTGTATCCCACAGGTTTTGGTATGTTGTGTTTCCATTTTCATTTGTTTCAAGAAACTTTTTAATTTACATCTTAATTTCTCTGTTGACTCAATGGTTATTCAGGAGCATGTTGTTTAATTTCCATGTATTGGTCTTGTTGCCAACATTTCTCTTGGTGTATATTTCTAGTTTTATTCCATTGTGGCCAGAGAATATATTTAATGATTTCAATTTTTGAAAATTTGTTCAGACTTGTTTTGTGGCTTAACATAGGCTCTCTCCCCGAAAATGTTCCATGTGTTCATGAAAGGAGTGTATATTCTGTAGTGTTAGATAGAATGCTCTATAAATATCTGTTAGCTTTATTTGGTGTAAAATTCTGTTTAAATCCAATGTTTCTTTCTTGATTTTCTATGTAGATGATCTGTCTCATGCTGAGGTTGGGATGTTGAAGTCTCCTACTATTATTGTATTGGAGTCTATCTTTCTTGTTAGATGTAGTAATATTTGTTTTATGAGTCTAGGTTCTCCAGTGTTTAGTGCATATATATTTAGAATTGTTCTATTCTTTTCTTGGAAGGATCTCTTTATGATTACGTGATGGCCTTCCTTATCTTTTAAAAAAGTTGTTCTTGACTTACAGTTTATTTTATCTGCTATAAGTATAGCTACTCCTGCTCACTTTTGGTTTCCATAGATAACCTCTTGCCATTCTTTTACCTTCTGTCTCTATGGATTGTGGTGAGGTGGTATTACCGGTGAGTTTTTCTGTAAGCAGAATGTAGTTAGATCATGTTTTCTACCCATTCAGCCATTCTAAATCTTATAAGTGGAGAATTTAATCTGTTTACATTCCAGATTTTTATTAATATGTGAGGCTTTGTGCCAAGACTAGCTCAGTCGGGAAGACCCTAACCCAGTGGCACTAGAGGAATCAAAGACACACACACAGAAATATAGAGGTGTGAAGTGAGAAATCAGGGATCTCACAGCCTTCAGAGCTGACAGCCTCGAACAGAGATTTACCCCCATATTTATTAACTCAAGCCAGTGATAAGCATTGTTTCTATAGATTATAGATTAACTAAAAGTATTCCTTATGGGAAACAAACGGATGGGCCAAAATAAAAGGATGGGTTTGGCTAGTTATCTGCAGCAGGAGCATGTCCTTAAGGCACAGATCACTCATGCTATTGTTTGTGGTTTAAGAACGACTTTAAGCAGTTTTCCGCCCTGGGTGGGCCAGGTGTTCCTTGCCCTCATTCCGGTAAACCCACAACCTTCCAGCGTGGGCATCATGGCCATCATGAGCATGTCACAGTGCTGCAGAGATTTTGTTTATGGCCAGTTTTGGGGCCAGTTTATGGCCAGATTTTTGGAGGCCTGTTCCCAACAGCTTTGTTCCTATCACATTGTTGTTTTCGGGTTGTTTTATATGTCCTTTATTACTGTCTTTTTCTCTTATTGCTTGTCATTATGGTTTGGTGGATTTCTGTAGTAGGACCATTTGAGACCTTTCTCTTCCTCTTTTGTGTGATTGCTTTACCAGTGAGTTTTATACTTGTGTATGTTTTCATGGTGATAATGTGGAAATGTTGAAAATGTCGTTTCAATTCCAGGTTTAGGACTTTCTTGAGCATTTCCTGTAGGCCCTGTCTAGTGGTAATGAAGCCTTTCAGCATTTGCTTGTCTTGGAAAGATAATTTCTTTTTTCAATTATGAAGAATACTTATGTTTTGTTTATTACTCTTGGCTTGGCAGTTCTTTTCCTTCAGGACTTTGATTATACTATCCTATTCTCTTCTGGCCTGTAAGATTTCTGCTAAGAAATCTGCTGTTAGAGCTGGGCACAGTGGCTCACACCTGTAATCCCAGCACTTTGGGAGGCTGAGGTGGGTGGATCATGATGTCAAGAGATTGAGACCATCCTGGCCAACTTGGTGAAATCCCGTCTCTACTAAAAATACAAAAAAAAAAAAAATTAGCTGTGTGTGGTGGCGTGTGCCTGTCATCCCAGCTACTTGGCAGGCTGAGGGAGGAGAATCACCTGAACCCAGGAGGCAGAGGTTGCAGTGAACCGAGATCATGCCACTGCACTCCAGCCTGGCAGCACAGCGAGACTCCGTCTCAAAGAAAAAAGAAAGAAAAAAGAAAAAGAAATTTGCTGTTAGTCTGATGGGGTTTCCTTTATAGGTGACTAAACACTTTCCTCTTGCTATTTTTAGGATTTGCATTTTACCTTATACTATAGAAAGTCTGATTATATGCCATGGTGAGGAACTTTTTGCATTGTATTTTTCTCAGAATTATTGAACATTTTGTATCTGAATGTCTAAATCACTTGCTAGAGTTGGGAATTATTCATCTATTCTTTCATTAAATAGGTTTTCTAATCTGTTCTTTGTCTCTTTGCCCTTGAGGATACCAATAATTTGAATATTTGGTTGTTTATATTGTACCAAATGTCACAAAGGCTTTGCTCATTCTTTTTTTGTGTGTGTTTTTGTCTTATTGAATTATTTCACTATGTATATCTTCAAGTTTTGGAATTCTTCCTTCTGCCTGACCTAGTATGTTGTTGAAGCTTTCAAATGTATTTGGAATTTCATGTCGTGAATTCTTTAATTCCAGAATTTCTGTTTTTTTTAAATCTATATCTTTTGTAAACTTCTTATTTGTATCCTGAATTATTTTTATGTTTTCTTTGTATTTTTTTCAGAATTCTTTTGCATCTCACTGAACTTCTGTAAAATGAATGTTTTGAGTCCTTTATCTAGAATCTTGAAAATTTCTTTTTGATTAAGATCTATTGTCTTCCTTTGCGGCTTTTTTTTTTCTTTTTTGCTTTTTCATGTTTCTGTGTCCTAACGTTAATATTTTTGCATCTGATATAACAGTCAGTTCTTCCTATTTTTGAATTTTATTTCATAGTGGAGAGCATTTTCCTGAAGATGAGTCTATGGTGTTGGTTGCGTAGGGTACTTTGGATTTGATTCTGGGTGTAGTACATAGTAGAGTACTATGGCCTCTGTATAATTTCTTTGGCTGTAGACAGTGTTAATGGTATCTGTGATTTCTTCTGTGCATTAGGGTGTGGTTACTAGTGAGGCTGTGGTGAAAATGTGCTGGGGACTGAGATGCCACATGAGACAGTCTTCAGGCTCCAGTGGTGGCAGTGGTGTGCTGAGTGTTCCTATCTTTGTGCCCCAAGGTGGTATATACTGGCATTTGTGTTGGTGGTTACTGGTGGGCTGATTCCTGGGCCTCCAGGTGGCTTGCTTGGATGGCAGTAGTGGCAGTGGTTGACTGGGTAGGTGCTGGGGACTTCGGCTCCTGGGCAGCCAGCTTGGCAGTGGCAGTGGTGGGCTGCTTCTCTGGGTCCCAAGCAGTGTGCACTGTTAGCGGCAGATGCGATAGGCTGGGTGGGATGCCCATAGGTGGTGTTTGCACGTAGGTGACAGCTAAGGTGATTGCATCCAACCTCAGGTACCCAGGAGGAGTGCACAGGTGCCCAAGGTGGTGGATTGGGTTGAGGAATTCCCAGGCCCTGGGGCTGTGTTCTCTGTCTCAGTGGGAGGGGGCGATGAAGTTGTCTCTTCATCATTAAATGCTGTGCCAACTAGTCCCTTAATTTTCTTTTTGCCTAGAGGACTGAAACATTTATTATAGTTTAGGTCTGCTGGTTATTTTTTCACTCCCTGTATGTCTAAAATCCATTTGTTTGTTTGTTTGTTTGTTTGTTTGTTTGTTTTTGAGACAGAGTCTCACTCTATTGCCCAGGCTGGAGTGCAATGGTGTGATATTGGCCTACTGCAACCCCCGCCTCCCATGTTCAAGTGATTCTCCTGCCTCAGCCTCCTGAGTAGCTGGGAATTACAGGAGCATGCCACCATGCCTAGCTAATGTTTGTATTTTTAGTAGAGACGAGGTTTCACCATGTTGGTCAGGCTGGTCTTGACTCCTGACTTCGTGATCTACCTACCTCGGCCTCCCAAAGTGTTGGGATGACAGGCATGAGCCACCATGCCTGGCCTAAAATCCCTTTATTTTTTGATAGATATATTCAAGGTGTGTTAGCTTAATTTAATCATTACATAGGGTACACATATATCAATACATTAAACAATATCTCACGAATGTATTATACTTTGTCAATTAAAACTATACATATATATTTGAAAAAGGTATTATTTTCTGGGAATAGAATCTAGTTTCACAGCATTTTCCTTTTAGGACTCTAAAGATGTTGCTCATCTGTCTCCTCATTTGCATTGTTTCCAATGAAATAACTGCTGTCATCTTTATTATTATTCTTATTTTTTCACTTTCTGCTTTTTCAATTTTCTCTTCTTCTGTGGTTTTCAACAAATACGTGCTTTTTTTTTACCCAGAATTATAGAGTGAACGTGAGAAACAATCTCTAGGGAGGGCTTTTTGACTATTGCTTGTAAATTTTTAGAAACAGTTGTTTGCTCCTTGTTTTATTAGATCACAGGCTAATTTCCTCAGAGTATTCTTATATTGAAGAATGTCATAATTAATTTTACTGATCATCCCTAAAACCATAAAAACCCTAGAAGAAAACCTAGGCAATACCTTTCAGGCCATAGGCATGGGCAAGGACTTCATGACTAAAACAACAAAAGCAATGACATCAAAAACCAAAATTGACAAATGGGATCTAATTAAACTAAAGAGCTTCTGCACTGCAAAAGAAACTACCATCAGAGTGAACAGGCAACCTACAAAATGGGAGAAAATATTTACAATCTACCCATCTAACAAAGGGCTAATATCCAGAATCCACAAGGAACTCAAACAAATTTACAAGAAAAAATCAAACAACCCCATCAAAAAGTGGGCAAAAGATATGAACAGACACTTCTCCATAGAAGACATTTATGCAGCCACAGACACATGAAAAAATGCTCATCATCACTGGCCATCAGAGAAATGCAAATCAAAACCACAATGAGATCCCATCTCACACCAGTAAGAATGGCGATCATTAAAAAGTCAGGAAACAACAAGTGCTGGAGAGGATGTGGAGAAATAGGAACACTTTTACACTGTTGGTGGGACTGTAAACTAGTTCAACCATTGTGGAAGACAGTGTGGCAATTCCTCAAGGACCTAGAACTAGAAATACCATTTGACCCAGTGGTCCCATTACTTTGTATGTACCCAAAGGATTATAAATCGTGCTGCTATAAAGACACATGCACATGTATGTTTATTGTGGCAGTATTCACAATAGCAAAGACTTGGAACCAACCCAAATGTCCATCAATGGTAGATAGGATTGAGAAAATGTGGCACATATACATCATGGAATACTATGCAGCCATAAAGAAGGATGAGTTCATGTCCTTTGTAGGGACATGGATGAAGCTGGAAACCATCATTCTGAGCAAACTATCACAAGGACAGAAAACCAAACACCACATGTTCTCACTCATAGGTGGGAATTGAACAATGAGAACACTTGGACACAGGGGGGAACATCACACACCGGGGCCTGTCGTGGGGTGGGGGCAGTGAGGAGGGATAGTACTAGGAGAAATACCTAATGTAAATAATGAGTTAACAGGTGCAGCAGACCAACATGGCACATGTATACATATGTAACAAACCTGCACGTTGTACACATGTACCCTAGAACTTAAAGTATAATAATAAAAAAAAATTTATTGGTCATCTTGGGTAAAGCATCGTGCCTGGATAGGTGGTCAAGCATTATTCTGGATGATTTGTGAGGATGTTTGTTGGATGAGATTAACACATAAATAGCCAGACTTTGAATAAAGTAGATTAATGTCTATAATGTGAGTGGGCTTCATTCAATTCACTGAAGGTGTAAATTAAACAAAACACTGACCTCTCTTGAGCAAGATGGAACTCTGTAGCAGACAGCGCTGGGATTTGAACTGCAGTATCAGTCAACTGACCCACTAACAGCTGGTTGGTTTGTGTACAGCATTTGCAAGATGAATGGACAACATACTGTTTGGAAGTCCACTTCTTTGATCAAAGAAGGTAAAAACAGAAAAGCTGTTGTGGACTTAATTGCATGGTGTTTTCTTAGCAGTGGTGGAAGAATTGAACAATGATAAAGCTCCTACGTTTTAGTTTTTACTGACTTACAGGGAGTGACTAATGGCCTGGCCGTATAATTAATCAGGAGAGCAATGAAAAACTTGCCTATGAAAAGAATGCCCATGTGAGCCAAGTCCCACGGAAATCACTATGGTAATTTGAGGGGTTCATTAATGTAAGATCTGTTGATACCTGATATAGATTGGATGTTGTTCTTGTGCAGACCTCATGTCGAGATGTGATCCCCAGCATTATAGGTGGGGCCCGGAGGGAGGGAGGTGGTTGGATCACGAGGTCAGTTTCTCATGAATGGTTTAGCACCGTCCCCTCAGTGCTGTTCAGTGTCCCTCAGAATAACTCCCTTCCAGGTTTGGAAGGTGATTGAAATCAACAAGAATTTATCTCCAAGTGTTTGCCAGGTGCACTTGTAATTCCAGCTATGAGAGCGGCTGAGGCAGAAGGATATCTTGAGTCCAGGAGTTAGAGTTTAGCCTGAGCAACATTTGAGGCCAGCCAGGGAAACATATCAAGACCACATCTCAAAAATAACAACAAAAAAAAAATCCAGGTTTGCTTGTGGTGATCACCTGAGTCCATGAAATAAGTAGACATTGGGGCTGTAGCAATGCAGAGATAGGTGGAATCAAGACATAGTCCTCTTGCATTCCACACATCACAGGCACAAAATACATATAAGAAGTCCTTTCTTTAACAAAAAAAAGAGAGATAGTATATGGCTATGTGGCAGATTCTTTTATGGGAGGGCCTTGAAAATACATAGCTGGCAAGTTAAACTGATACCAGTAGCCCCAGGAAGCAGCAAATGGGTCTTGGCAGGAATAGATCCTCACCCTGGAGTGGGCTTTGTTCAGCTGGTAGTAGGTGTGTTACCAAACTGAACTGGGGTCCACTCACCTGAGGCAGTAAAAGCAAACATCCACACTGAGATTGTAGTGGGACAAAGGAGGGCATTTATGTGTAGGGCGCCAAACAAGGAGAATTGGGCAGCTCATGCTTAAGACCCAACTTTTTGATGGCTCACATGCAAGAATTTTTAAAGGCAGGGGCAAATTTCGGGAAAGCAGAGTTACAGGCAACATCATAAATCAATGCATAGAAGTTATACACTGCTTTGGCCTTAAAAGGTGGAATATCCTGATGAGGGAGCTTACAGGTCTTAGGTAGATTTAAAGATTCTCTGATTTGTGATAGATAAGGAAGCAAAGCCTCTTTACAAAGCTTCGTTACACAGTTGGGGGCAGTAGACAGGAATGTTCAGGCCTGGTCTGTGGGCTTGACTCTCTCCAGGCCCCTCAGGAAGAAATTTAGAACAAAGAACGGCAGTCAGAGTTCAGTCCTCAGTTTCCCCTTTATAAGGTCTCCCTGTCAGTGGATCTATTAGGTGGGAATCCATGTTTCTGAAAAACAACTCAGGGACATATGTTAAGATGTTATTTTTAGTTTCTACAGAGAATCAAACATCTTGTGACTCTAACTTCCTTGGCTATTTTTTTAAGCTATCATTACCGTCTTGCTTATAAGGTCACTCACTTACTTTTTAGGGCTGGCAAGGTGCCTGGAATTTCTCTTGAAGGCACTGAAGGTTTTTCTTTATTTCCAGGTTGGGAGGCCCTGGCAGGCTTCTAAGGGAGGTCCCTGCTTTATCTCAGATGCAAATGCTCGGAGTGTTACAAAAGAACTTGAATGGGAGGTACTGCAACCATGTAGACCACCGAGTCGTATTTCTTTACACCAGAAAATGCACCTGCTCAAAATGTCCAACAATGGTCAGAGAGATATCCTCCTCAGAGGAAGAGTTCCATAGAGAATTAAAATAGTCAATTGGGTGTGTAAAGGCAAGAGTGGGGAAACAAGCACGAAGGGTGGGCTTATACACCTTCATGAGTGTGCTCACACTTGACATGAGAGTATCCTCTCTTTTCCTGGTGGATCAGGGGAAGGTGCTGGTATGATCTACATATATTCCTCCCCAAGGTGGGAGGACACTGGAATGATGACTGTAATTCACCTCAACTTGCTTTTCTCATACCTGATGCAGTGGTCCCAGGACTAGGGATGCAAATAGAGTTCAGAAACAGGAATTATTCCTGAGCAAGAAACTGTAAATATATTTTATGTCCATTATGTAATAATTCCTAAGGGCCTGTAGAGGTAGGTTGTGCCTTCACTGCATCTGGCAAAGTTGGGGCTAACACTGAATGCAGCTGTATTGCCTGGGGTCAGATAGCAAACCAGTTCTCTACCTGCATAACCCTACCCTCTATGAACTGGAATGGACCAACGAGAGACACTTGCTAGAACAGTATTGGTCCCTGCAGTCTCAGCCAGCACAGCAGCAGAACTTAATGTTCCTTCCAAAATTATAAATGTTTAGTATAAATGAAGGGAAGGAGAAATAGTAGCTGAGGGTAAATGAATGAATAAATGGGTTATGTAATGAGGAAAATCCAATGTTACATGAACTACTTGAAAAAGGTATAAGCAAGAGATGATATTGTCTCTTAGCTCAATTTTACCAGATGCCTGAAAGGGTGCAGCCATATGTTGCTGAAACTATTCCTGTTTATGGATTGCACTGGGATCATTGTTAATGACCAAAGAGGATTCTGGTAATGTGCCAGGATCTTTTCACTGTTATGATTCTTCTGGTGTAGGAGATCTGTGATTGGCCAGGCACAGTGGCTCACACTTATAATTCCATCAGTTTGGGAGGCAATGGTAGGAACATTGTTTAAGTCCAGGAGTTTGAGACCAGACTGGGCAGAATAGTGAGACCCATTCCTACAAAATATTTAAAAATTAGTTGGGCATGTTGGTGTGCACCTGTAATGCTATCTACTCAGGAGGCTGAGGCAGAAGGATCACTTGAGTCCAGGAATTCAAGGTTAGAGTGAGCTATGATTGTGCCACTGCATTCTACCCTGGGCAACAGAGCAAGAGATTATCTCTAAAATAAAATAATAAATATTATAAAAAGAGATAATGTGGTCAAAACCAGGGTGTGATCTGTGGTCCAGTAAAAATATTTGGTCTTTTCCCTGTTTCCTGACAACCAGGTTCTAAAACATTTGCAATCTCCTCAGTGATAAACATGACTTCAACATGGCAATGAGATGACTATGGGGTGAGGGGCTCCTAGATAGCTTCAGGATGGGGACTAGTTGCCAGAAACACGAAGCTGTGATTAGAGGATTGGAACTGTTAGCCCCATCCCTAAAGTCTGGGAAGGAAAGAGAGGCTCGAGGTTGAGTTCAGTCACACAATGGCCAGTGATTTAATTAATCATGCTTACACAATGAAATATCCATAGAAACCTCTGGAGATTGGGTTTCGGAGAGCACATCTGTGTGTCCACATGCTGGGAGGATGGTGAGCCCCATCTCCGTGGGGACAGAGGCTCTTGTGCTCAGAGCCCTTCCAGGCCTCACCCTGTGCACCTCTTCATCTGGCTGCTCATTTGTATCCTTTATAACTGCTATGGTTTGAATGTTTCCCCAAAAAAGCACCTGTTGGATATTTCATCCCGAATGCAACATTTTTAAGAAATAGGACTTTTGAGAGGTGATTGGACCATCAGAGCTCTGCCTTCATTAATGGATTAAGGCTCATCATAAAAGGACCTGAGGCTGAGTTTGACTTCCTTTCCCCCCACCTCTCACCCTCTCTTGTCCTTTTGTTTTCTACCAGATAGAGTCCCTTGATCTGGGAATTCTCATCCTCGACACCATGAACGAGACAAATTTCTGTTTGTTAAAAGTTATCCAGTCTCAGGAGTTCTGCTCTAGTGGCATAATTTAAACCAGGGGTCCTTAACCCCCGGGCTGCGGACTGGTACAGGTTCCTGGCCTGGTAGGAACCAGACTGCACAGCAGGAGGTGATCAGTGGGTGAGAGAGCATGAGCATGACACCAGAGTTCCGCCTCCTGTCAGATCAGTGGCGGAATTAGATTCTCATAGAAGCATGAACCCTATTGTGAACTCTGCATGCAAGAGATCTAGGTTGCATGCTCCTTATGAAGCGCTAATGCCTGATCATCTGAGGTACAACAGTTTCATCCGAAACCATTTCCCTCTGCCCTCCACCACCTCCACTAGTCCATGGAAAAACTGTCTTCCATGAAACCAGTCCCAGGTGCCAAAAAGGTGGGGATTTAAGCTATAACAATAAAAAACTGCAATACTGAGTGTGAAAGGAAAATAAAATTTCAGGACTCCAAATTCACTATACCAAAGGGAAAAATTAAGTTTGGAGACTGATGGAAAAACTGCCTTTCTTTCATTCCTAAACAAATAACTGCAAAGATAGAAGACCCCATATCTCCCCAGGTGGCCTCCCTCACAAACCGCTCACAAGATAATTCCTTGTGGGCCCCAACGTGTTTACTCTAAAACAGTTTTGTTGAATTTTCCCCTGACAATGTAAATTAACAGCTTATCTTCACAGGTACAGGACAAAGACAAGACTAGAAATCATCCCTCCACCCACCCAGAGTCAAACGCATATTTGACTTTTCTACCCAACGTTTACTTTATCTTATTTAAAATGCAGATTTACTGAGCATGAGATGAATGCATAGTTGACTATTTTTTTCCTCTCCTGGCTGCTCTTTCCCCTGTACATATTGAAGTCCTCAAAAGCCTGTTAGGAAAGAGCATGGGCCACAGATGCTACAATGATTTGTGTCTCTGTTTCCAAGGTGCATCTTCAGCTTGGCAAAATAAACTTCTAAACTGACTGAGACCTGTCTCAGACGTTTTTTGGTTTACACGGCTATAGCAACTTCCTGAGTTCTTTGAGTTAGTTTAAGAATTCTCAATCCTTGGGAGGTGAGAAACCCCTGATTTTGCAGCCATGTTAGACAGAAGTGCAGGTAACCTGGGACCCGATACTTGTGACTTGCTTCTGAAGTGAGGACAGACTTGTAGGACTGAGCTGGTAAACCTGTAGAGTCTGAGGCGAACTCCAGGTAGTTAGTGTCAGAATTGAGTCAAATTGTGGGACTCCCAGCTGCTGTTGGAGAATCAGAAAGTTATTTGGGTGGAAGAAAACCCCATCACTGTCCCACAGAGAGAAACTTATAGTAAGAGTAAGCAAGTAAACCTCTACCTTCTTTGGTCCCAGAGGAAAAGATAAACAAATGTAAGCATTTGTTTCATGTCCCTAAACACAGGTTGCTACCAGCTGTTCATTGTCTAGACGTGGAGTGGTCCTACCTTTAATCTAGAAGTTAGGATTTTTTAGGCCTTTGAGGGTGTCACATAAAAACTAATAAATGTTAGAGATTCTCTCCCCAGAAATATTTCCACACACAAGAAAATATAAATATTAATATAAAACATCGTGTGGAACCAGAACCTCTAATATCTTACAAACCTGGGAGTTTTAATCCTAGTAAGAGTCATGCTGAGGGAAGAGGTTTGAATAATCATTTCATCATTACAGAATGCCACTCCAAAAATCTAGACTATAAACTGGGATAGACAAAAACTTGATGTAAACCTATCCTCAAGGGAATGGGTGGAAATATGTTATTTATTAGTCACTGGTTCATTCAGCCACTCTTCGTGCCTACTGGGTACTAGATAAAGTTCTCGTCCTGGATCACTGCTCCAAGAATTAAAATTTGTCACTTTTCCCCACCCCTCACACTCCAGCACTTGAACCCGCTTACTACATCAAAATTCCACACTGTCAATGAAAAGAGTCAAACGCAGTAACATATTTAAAGAGATTTATTCTGAGCCAAAAATGAGTGACCACAGCCCATGACACAGCCCTCAGGAGACCGAGAACATGTGCTCAAGGTGGTTGAGGCACAGGTTGGTTTTACACATTTAAGGAAGATATGAGACATCAATCAAATACATGGTTTTACACATTTAAGGAAGATATGAGACATCAATCAAATACATTTAAGCTATACATTGGTTCGGTCCAGAAAGTTGGAACAATTTGAAGCAAGCAAGGGTTGCGGGGTAGTGCTTCTGGGTTATAAGTAGATTTTTAATTTTTCTGATTGGCAATTGGTTATTATCAATAGAAAGGAATGTCTGGGTTATGATAAAAGCTTGTGGAGTCCAAAATTCTCATACAGATGACGCCTCCAGGTGCCAGGCTTCAGAGAGAATAGATTGTAAATGTTTCTGATCAGACTGAAGGTCTGTGTTGATGGTAAATGCTGGTCAACCTTTCCTGAATTCCAAGAGGGAAGAGGGCATAATAAGACATGTTCAATACCTGCTTCCCATGGTGGCCTGAGCCAGTCTTTCAGGTTAACTTTTGAGCACCCTGGCTGAGGGTGTCCATTAAAATGATTGGGAAGGGGTGGCTTTGATGTTTATTTTTGGTTTACAACATGTAAAATGTTGAGAGGAGACAGACACCACCTCCCTCCCTGGAAGAGGACAACAACACTCCAGTCACCCCTGCAGTTGATCATGGACATGAGTTTTAAGCTCCACCAGTCTGATGACCACCTGCTGAAGAGGTGTCATTGTCTCAGGTAAATACTAAGTGTTCGTCATCTCACGCCAAGAAGATTAAGGACACTGACACACGAGGAGTGAGTTAGGATCAAAGGGTTTAATAGGCAAAAGAAAGACAAAGGGAAACAGCTCCTTCTTGTGAGAGAGAGGGGCACCCAAAAGGGAATTCCAGCCTGGAATGGAGTGCATCGGATTTTACAGGCAGGCTTGAGGAGATGGTGTCTGATTTATGTAGGGCCCACAGGTTGATTGTACCAGGTATGATATTTACATAGTGCGTGTGGAAGGCTGTTCACCCCACCCTCATCCTATTATGCAAATGGGCTTTCCACTTGGCCGGTGACATGTTGTCTGCTCCTTACTGTAAACGTGCCTGGCAAAGAGAAGGGAAGATGGAGCCGCCATAGTGAACATGCCCAGTCCCAGGCGTCCTATTCCTATTGGACAGCTGCTGGCATTCACCCGTGCAAACTTCCAGCTTACTTGTCTATGTCTGAAGCTTGATATTACAGGCTGCTCCTTGTTAGAAAAGAAAATAATTTGGAGCCTGCTTTCCATTAAAAGCCTTGCGTACCCTCACTACCTGTCTAAATAATTTCTTCTTCACTCCTATATCACTGCCAGACTCAGCCAGAATGAGGTGACAGAGAGGCTAGGACTGTGCAGAAAGCATTTTAGTAAAGATGGCTGAGTGACAGTAGTGATGTCCAATTTCCAGGTGCAGCAGTGACATCTGTCCTAGCCTCAGGGTCCAGTGTCCAGCACCAGGATGTCAGAGGTGTGAGCAGTGCTGTCTGTGCTCAGCAGCAGGGGCAGTTGTTCCTAGGAGAGACCTGATCCAGGGTGGGCTGTGAATTCTGTTCTTGGATGTGTAGTTTCCAGCCTGGTTCTGTGGCCTTCCCCACAATAAAACTAGCCCCCAATACCAATATACAACTTTATGTGTACATTACAGAAATTTGGTTTCCATAGTTTTCTCCAAGAAGTGAGTGAGAAATGAGTCTGTGGGCGAGTGTCAGAGAGCGGCATTCAGAGGTGTTCTTTGTGCGAGAGCCACATCCTGAATTGTCTGCCTGGCCTCTACCCCATGGTGGAGAGAACAACAGAGAATATCACCTCTCATAACTGATGATATACAGCCTCCCTTTTCTTTCTGTGAGAAAAATCCTCTTTTCAACAGGGTTTGAAAACCCACCCCACCCACCCACCCTGGGCACTCTCTGATCACTGATCTCAGTGGCTCCCATCTGTCTGAGCAATAGGATTGCTGGCGGGGACTTAGAAAATACACAGGCCACTCCCCAGAACCCTTGTCTCAGAGTATTACGCACAAGACCAAGGAATCATTTATATGACAAGCCCTAGAGGTGAGGCTGATGCTCAGACGTGTGGGATCCTGGTGTTCTTGCTACTCCAAGTGTGATCTGGAGACCAGCAACATGAGCTCCAGCCTTGTCATAAATCCAGAATCTCTTGCTCAACTCCAGACTTCCAGGATCTCAGCACCACATCCAGATGATCCTGGTGCACATGGGGTTTCCTTGTCTGAGTGTCCTCTAGACGTGGGGCCAGAACTGTGCAGTCTGCTCTGGGTGTGGTCTGATCACACCCCTTAGAACTGGAGGTCCAGGGTTCAGTCCTTGTGCTCATTCTTTTCCATAGTCGGTCACTCCCTTTGTGCCTCATCCATGCTTGAGGTTTTAAGTCTCATATATATGGTGTGACCTCCTAAATCTATTTCTCCAGCCCAGTCCTTTCCCCTAAACTCTGGAGTTGTCTGTCCAAATTCCACCCAGCTCCCCCACCCGCCTTCCTAGTAGACATCTCCTCCACTGAGTGCCTGTGATGCCCCCTCCTCAGGACGCTCCTGCCAGAGTCTCCCCATCTCCACTGACAGCAGCTCCATCCTTCTACTCACTCATTTTACAACTATGGGTGTCCTTGATTCGTCTTTCTCACACCACAGATACAATCCATTGGCAAATGCTGTGAGTCCATCTTCAAATGCATCCAGAATCCCCTCACGCCCCACTATTTCCCCTGCTCATGCCCCAGTCAAGGAAACCGACATCTCCAGCCTGGAATACTGCACTCGATTCCTACTGTTTTCCCTTCTGCCTCCCTCGTCCCTCGCCTCTCAATTCTGTTCTCAGCACAGCCGTCAGAGAGATCCTTTTAAAACAGAAGTCATATCATGGCTCTCTTCTGCTCAAAACTGT